>NC_000003.12:130220725-130372240 GCF_000001405.40 Homo sapiens
GGAAGGCACCTGTGGTGGAGCCTCTCCCCAGTTCATGGCTCTGTGGGCGCTACGACACAGGAATGGCACAGATCATGGCAGCATTTAAGAGAAGCATCATTTACTTGTCATAGTCCTATGGCAAGTTTCTTCACCCCTCTGTTTTCCTATCTGCAGTAGTCGGGAGCTCTGGAAACATTGTTCTCTCCTTTCTCTTTTTCGTGAGACCTTGCTCTACCGCTGCTGCCCATGCTCATGATGGAGAAAGCCCTTCTCACCACCACCCCCTTTTTAAGCAACAACAACAGCAACAACAACATGTGTTTCTGTGTGGAGCACCACCAAAGGGTGGAAAGATCAAGGAATTTGATGATAGGGAGACCTGGGCCCAACTTCCTAGAATCTCAGGTCCTGCATAATGCAAATTGGTGAATTCCTGAGTTGTGAGGGCTAAATGAGGTAATACACATCTAGGTCCAAGCATATGGCAGATAGCCAATAAAAGTATGTCCTTCTTTACCTTTCAATCTCACCCCCTTGGCAGTGAATGCTTTAAAATTCAAGTACTAAGTTGCTCTTTTCATTTGATTCTTATTTTCGCTCTTAATGTTCTCTTCTCTCTAGGCAATATGTGATTTTTAAAAGTGACACATTTTTTCTTTGTGATTTAAGGGCTTGACGGGACTGCCAGGACAACCTGGAGAGCGTGGAGAGCCTGGGTTAAGGGGAGATCCTGTGAGTGATGTTGGGGGATTTCTGCTGCTTTAATTCCAGGGACTGGAGAACTGTTTGCTCGTGACACAAAGGCAACGAGCAATTAATTATTCATTAATAAAGCATCTGCTCACCCTATCTTAGTATTGCAACAAATAAAAGATTTGAGGGAAAACTTATAGAAAAGTTGAGTTCTTAAAAAGGTTGGAATTTTAATTGGATTAAAAGTCTAAGATTTTTGAGCAGGCCCAGACAATAAAAAGGGTCCACTTTAGTTGTACCTTATTTTTTTGTTTTGTTTTGTTTTAAATAATTCTTCCTATAATTTCTTTTCTGTCCATTTGAGGTAATGAACCCTTTATTTTCTCAGGGGGATCCTGGAACTAATAGCTATATCCAAGGCCCTAAGGGAGAAAAAGGAAGGCGTGGGCGTCAGGTAAGATGTTCTGTTTCCTTGAGGGGCTACATGGGAACGGATGCTAGCTGGGGCAGAGGACTTGGGCATTCCGGTAGGATCAGCATAAAAAACCAGAGAGCAAGCCTGTGGGAATCCACTGTCTATGGAGATAGAAGCTCTGAATGCCAATCTCCACTGACATCCTCGTCCTTGCATACTTAATTCATAGTTGTTTTTTTCTATACGAATCCTTTCTCCTACAACATTACATCTTTTGTCCTTGGTTTCCTCATCTCCAAAATGAAAGCACCAGACTCAATAATGCCTAAGATATTTCTGGTTTCTAAATTCTCTATCTTTATAATGATGTATTGATTTAGAAGGTACTCAGGGTCATTACAGTGCTGGCTTGCTTTCTGTCACAGCCAGTGCTGATTGATGTGAACTGGGTATTAGCCATTTTTTAAGGTGAAATCCTTGCCTAGTTCTGAAAACTAGAAGCATTGTGATAGAAGGCATCACAGAAGCAAAAAGACTTGTTAACTTTGATCGATGTTAACTTCTTGGCAGCCATTTTTAGATTTTCATGTCCCAGACATTAAAATGTATGATTCTGAAAAATGACTAAAATAACCCAAGTGCTTCAGTCCTCATATCTTCCCTAATTTCCAGGCATGAGGTCTGCATAGAGAAACGTTTGCAGCTAGAGAGGAACCTCTATTACTTTGAACTCCAGTTTTTCATCCTTTGACAAAATTATAGGACATTGGCTCTCTTCTGTAGCTAGTTTGCATTCCTTTTACATATGTCTAGATCCTGAGTTAAATGCAGTTTGTAACAAGATGATTATTATGTTGCTGTGTGAGAAAACCAGCATGACTTGCTGCAAGAATCTCATCCTGTTGTTAATTGCAGTTGTTTTGGACAAACCCCATTGAGAGGGTGTCCTGTGGTGAGTTGACATCAGAGAGCCCTGTGAACAGCCACTCAATCGGCTATGGAACTGAGCTAAGGGAGCAGCAGGACAGCAACCCTTAACCCATGTGGGCCCCGGTTTCATCTGGAAGGAGGGAAGGAAGATAGAGAAACCATTTCAAAGCTTCCATGAGTTGTGGTTGTTGTGAGAAGAAAGATCATGATCTGTCTATTCAGACTGGTTCTCTTATTTGCTCAAGGTTTTACTGCTGGGAAGGAACCTAGGCCTCTAGACAAACTGTCCAGTGCTGTGTACATCAGAGCACTGCAGACACAGCAAGAGCCGCATGTTCACAGCTTTCTGAGGTCTCCATCACTGAGTTTAGCCAAGGGTTAACCTTGATCACCAGATCCCTACTTGTACATGCAAACAAAAATTGTAACCCTCTGGGGCAGTGCTGTGACATATTCCATTTGTGTTCCCCATGGTTTCTGCTCCCATGCTGGGCCAAAAAACGGTGGTAACTAAATATCCTTTGAATAGACTTAGATAACAGAAATCACTCCCACCAGCTATATTACCCTGAAGCTGGTAGATGCTGACATTCTAGCCTGAGCTTGTCCAATTCACTGCCCATGGGCAGTATGTGGCCCAGGATGGCTTTGAATGCAGCCCAACACAATTTGTAAACTTTCCTAAAACATTATGAGATTTTTTTCTCTTCTCTTCTTTTTCTTTTCTTTCTTTCTTTCTTTCTTTTTTTTTTTAAAGCTTATCAGCTATTGTTAGTGTTAGTGTATTTTATGTGTGGCCCAAGACAATTCTTCTTCCTCCAATGTGGCCCAGAGAAGCCAAAAGATTGGACACCCCTGTTCTAGCCTGTTAAGTGCTGTTGGGAGATAGCTCTCTAGGGGGCAACGGCTCCTTTCTGACATGAACCAAAGAGTGGCTTAAATGTTGCAGTCTGGATGGAGAGGTTTTCCTGATGAAGCAGTCTTTCTGACCAAGCAGAATAATTTTATTATATACCTAATATTGGAGAAAGCGTGGAGAGCCAATCATACCAGTCAGAAGTGAGAAAGTAACACTTCTGGGGAGAATGAAAGTCAATACAACCTTTTCGGGAGGCAATAGGCAATGCACATCAGTCATCAGTTAGGATTACTGGTTTTTTTTTTTTTTTAATGTTTTTAAATATACCAATGAAAGCCTGACTAGCAGTGTTTAGCTAATAAATGTGTTTTATAACCCAGGGATAGGTGATGACAACTTTGGCACATCAGTTTATGGTCCCATCGAACCTCAGTGATGTCGTCAGGGACCCGGCGCCTTTCCTCCCACACTGCCATCCTCAACGTGTCAGCTTTCGGTCCCTAGGTTTAGCAGCTCCAAGTGTTTTTTTGTCTTCACCTTTACATAAAATGTCAGGAGAAAAGGGGCTTTCCTTTCATCAAATTACTCCCAGCAATATTCTCTTTATAGCTCATTAGCTAAAATAGACCCTGTGCTCCCCAACAGCCCTTGCCCCATTTCAAGAGATCCAGAGAAAGCAAGTCTCTAACAAAAGGAAATGGGATCATCACAGTTGGCTTAGGCCTGTTCATCCCCTGGAGCTGGGTATGTCGTTGCTCCAAACAAAACTAAAAAGACCAGATTTTCTTAGCACAGAGGAAGGGAGGGCCTGTTTTGTAGGCCACCAACTGAGTCTGCCACAGCTTTAAGATGTGTATGTCGGCTGGGCATGGTGGCTCACACCTGTAATCCCAGCACTTTGGGAGGCCAAGGCAGGCAGATCACGAGGTCAGGAGATCGAGACCATCCTGGCTAACACGGTGAAACCCCATCTCTACTAAAAATACAAAAAAATAGCCGGGCGTGGTGGCTGGCACCCATAGTCCCAGCTACTCGGGAGGCTGAGGCAGGAGAATGGCGTGAACCCGGGAGGTGGAGCTTGCAGTGAGCAGAGATCACACCACTGCACTCCAGCATGGGTGACAGAGCGAGACTCTGTCTCAAAAAAAAAAAAAATTAAAAAAATAAAAATAATAAAAATAAAAGGATGTGTATGTAATTTGATCTACCCTTTCTAGTCCTAGAAATTTATCTGTACGCTAATCATGGTGCAACACAAAGATTTAGCTCCAAGGATGGTCATTGCAGTGATTTTTAAGGTAGTAAAACATTGAAAATATTTAAATATCTAATAATAAAGGAATATTTATGTAAACAATGCTCTTCCACACAGTGGAATAGTATTAGGCCATGAAACATAATGTAGAAGATGATTTCATGATATGGAAAACATCCATGATGTAATATCAAGTGAAAAAAGCAGGTTGCAACCCTGTATTTAACCTGAGTCCAAATTTGTAGAATATTTCTATATTGCCAAAATTGTGTATTTCTTTTTTATTAATTTCGATTTTTATTTTAGATTCAGGGGATAATGTACAGGTTTGTTACAAGGGTATATTGCATGGTACTGAGGTTTGGGCTTCCGTCACCAAAGTAGTAAACATAGTACCCAATAGGAAGATTTTCACTCCTTGCCCCACTCCTCCCTCCCCTTTCAGAGTCCCCTGTGTCTATTGTTCCCATCTTTATGTCTGTGTGAACCCAAGATTTAACTCCCACTTATAAGTGAGAACATGTGGTATTTGGTTTTCTATTTTTGCATTAGTTCATTTAGGATAATGGCCTCCAGCTGCATCCATGTTGCTGCAAAGGACATAATTTGGTTCTCTTTTATGGCTGAGAGTGCGTGCACTTTACATGGGACACAGTGTCCATTGTCAGCACCCTCAGTTCCTTCAGAAGGAGTGGGTTACAACTTTTTTCAGTATTTGGTAGAACTGGGTTTGTCCTTCAGCTCACTTACGGTGGAGGCTGTGGAATTGCCAGCCTGTATCTATTCCCTTGTATGGAATAAAGAAACAGAGATAAGAAGGAAGGAATAGAAGTAAGAAAGAAGGAATGTAGAAAGGAAGAAAGGAAGGACGGGGAGGGAGGGAGGGAAGAAAGAAAGGAAGTGAAAGGAGAGAGAAAAACCAACTTGTTTGTAGCAGCAACATGCCAGCCCCTAGTGTTTCTTTACCTTAATTTTATTCTCTGTATTGTTGAAATAGTCCATGATGAACCTGTTACTTTTTATCCTCTTCATTCTGAAAAATTTCAAATCTACAGAAAAATGTAGTTGTAAGTCTAAACACCAATTTTTATCCTTTAGCTATATTTGCTTTATATCTCTTTATACAAATACTTAAGGGTCTGTGTGTGTGTAACTGAGCTAATTGAGGATTAATTAAAGGCTTCATGAGAATTTGCCTCTAAATATTCAACAAGTATATGTTAAGAAAAAGGATATTCTTCTATATAAACATAATATAATCATCACCCTCATGAAATTCAATATTTATACAATATTCTTTTCTTTCTTTCTTCTTTTTTTTTTTTTTGAGATGGAGTCTCACTGTGACACCCAGGCTGGAGTGCAATGGCTCACTGTAACTTCCGTCTCCTGGGTTCAACGATTCTCCTGCCGAGAGCAGCTGGGATTACAGGCACCCGCCAACACACTGGCTAATTTTTGTATTTTTAGTACAGATGGGGTTTCACCATATTAGCCAGGCTGGTCTCGAACTCCTGACCTCAAGTGATCCGCCCGCCTCAGCCTCCCAAAGTGCTGGGATTACAGGCGTGAGCCACTGTGCCCAGCCAATATTATTTTCTAATACACAGTCCATATTCAAATTTTCCCACTTGCCCCATGTCTTAGGCAGTTTGGGCTACTGTAACAGAATTAATAGAGTGGGTGGCTTAAATAACAAACATTTATTTCTCATAGTCCTGGAAGCTGGGAAGTCCGAAATCAAGGTCCTGGAAGATTCAGTGTTTGGTGAGGGACTGCTTCCTGGTTCATAGCCATCTTCTTGGCTGCAACCTCACATGGCAGAAGGAGAGCTATAGTGTTCCTTCAAGCCTCTTTTATAAGGGCATTAATCCCACCATGAGGGTTCCCCCCTCATAGCCTAATAACCTTCCAAAGGCCCCACCTCCTCATACCATCACATTGGGGATTAGGATTTCAACATATGAATTTTAGGGGAACACAAACCTTGAGTCCGTAGCACCCCAATAATGTCCTCTGTGGCTGCTGCTGTTGTTCCAGGATCCAGCTGAGGACTATGCGGTGCCTTTAGTTGTCCTGTGTCGTCAGTGCCCTTTCATCACATTTGCTCAGTTATTTGTTTACATGACACTGACACTGTACACCAGTTATTTTGCTAAACACCCCTCAATTAGGATTTGTATGATTGTTTTCCCATAACTAGATTCAGGCTAAATACTTTTGGTATTATAGCACAAACTTTTATGTACTTTAAAAACTTTTGAAAAACATAGTTTTTAATTGTTGCATTCTATTTCAATAAGTGTTTCTGCCATAATTTGATCAACACTTCCCTCATGTTGTGGGATGTTTAAATTGTTTCAGAATTTAATCTATTATGAATAACAGTTGGGTGAACAGCTTTGCACAAAACGTTTTTGTTTCTGTTATTTCACACTCTTTCCCTATTTATGTATTCCTATTGAGTTAGCATGTAACTTTATGAAATAATTATCTGAGGTACCCCTACTTGGGATCCCACATGGTTTCCATTTTTCTTAAAAGATAGACTCATTTTTTTCTCTGGACAATACTCATTTTTCCACTTCTGACCCCAAAGAAATGAGAACACTAGACTCTTTCCTCACTGTGACTATATAACCTCTTTCTCTCTCTGTCAGCATCTGTATATATTGATCACCCATGTCTTCAGAGAGACGCTTTTCTACCTTCTGTTTCTATCTGCCACTCAGGACCCTAAATGATACAGGTAGAAAGAGAAGTGCCAATATTTTCAAATATTAAGCATGGCTGTGTTCCCAGCGTGATGAACTGTGAGGAGTCATCAAAGGAACAATCTCTGGGGAAAGATGCCTACAACACTGATATTTTGAAACATCAGCATTTAATGCCATTTGCTTCTTGAGGAGCACTGACCAACAGAACATTCTGAGATCATGGAAATATCCTGTGTCTGTACCGTCCAATGTGGTAGCCACTAGCCATATGGAATTATGGAACACTTGGAATGTGGTCAGCATAACAAAGAAACTACATCTTTAATTTGGTGCGAATTTAAGTGCTACATCTACCTAGTGCCTTCTGTATTGGACAAAAAGTTTTGCTAGCGTTTGTTGTTGTTTGTTTCTGATCTTCCCTTTATTTCTTACTTTTCAGGGAAGTTCTAATGTTGATGGACCTCAGGGAGAAACTGGAAATGTCGGCCCTTGGGTAGGTGTTAACAGCTGGAGGGATGTATTTCCCCTGCGTTTGTGGAAGAGGATGGTAGGCTGGGGTGAAAATTGGTTTATATCCTTCTCTAAGGTCTCTGCTTTCCATTTTTCTTAGGGGACAATAGGAAGGCGAGGTCTGCCAGGATTAAAGGTCAGTGCTTTCTGGAAAGAGTTGCTCTTTGTTCCACACATATGACTACTGTATTTATTATTGATACATAATATCTGCACATATTTATGGGGTACATGTGATATTTTGATACATACATAGAACATATAATGATCACACCAGGGTATTTAGGATATCTATCACCTCAAACATTTATTATTTCTTTATATTAGCAACATTTCAAATATTCTTTTCTAGCTATTTTGAAATGTACAATATATTGTTGTTAACTATAGTCACCCTACTGTACTATCAAACACTAGAACTTATTCCTTCTATGTGACTGTATGTTTTACGCATTAACCAACCTCTTTTCATTCTCCCTACCCTCAACCCCCCTTCTCAGCCTCTGATAACTGTCATTCTACTCTCTACCTCATGAGATCAACTGTTTTAGCTCCCACATGTGAGACAGAACTTGTGATGTTTGTCTTTCTGTGCCTGACTTATTCCATTCAACATAATGACTTTTAGTTCCATCCATGTTGCTGCCAATAACAGGATTTCATTCTCCTTTATGGCTGACTTTTATTTCACTGTGTGTATGTATCACATTTTCTTTATCTGCTCATCTGTTGGTGGAAACTTAGGTTGATTCCACATGTTTGCTATTGTGAATAGTGCTGCAATAAGCATGGGGTGCAGGTAACCCTTTGATATACTGACTTTCTTTTCTTTGGGTAAATGCCCATTAGTGGGATTTGTGGATCATATAGTAGTTCCATTTTTAACTTTTTGGGAAATCTCTATATTGTTTTCCATAATGACTGTACGAACTTATATTCTTACCAAAAATATGTATCCCTTTTCTCTGCATCTTTGCTAGCATTTGTTGTTTTTTGCATTTTTGATAAAAACTATTTAACTGGGATAAGATAATATCTCATTGTGGTTTTCATCATCAGTGATGTTAAACATTTTTTCATATACCTATTGGCCATTTGTATGTCTTTTGAGAAATGTCAGTTCAGATATTTTGCCCATTTTTTAATGGGATTGCTTTTTTTTTTTTGCAATTGAGTTGTTTGTTCCTTGTATATGCTAGATATTAGTCCGTTGTCAGGTGAATAGTTTGCATGTATTTCCTCCCATTCAACAGGTTGTCTCTTCACTCTGCTCATTGTTTTTTTTTTTTTTTCGGTTCAGAAGATTTTTGTTTAATATAGTCCCATTTGTCTATCTTTTATGGCTTCTTTAAATTGTTCTCTCTGAGGTCAAGGAGAGTGCCGGCTGGGCTGTCTGAGGTTGCATGAGGTTCATTGAAAGTTTCCATGGCGATTTTTTTCATGAAAAAGGGAAAGTTTATATGGTTCTCTGCCTCCTCCCCACCTTGCTATAATGTTTCATTTAGATTGAAAAGAAGCTAATATCCTAATATCTTAGAGTAGGACTTTCATTTCTATTATTTATTTCATTTATTTCTGTTTCATTGCTCTATATGCCTATTTTTATACCAGTACCATGCTGTTTTGCTGACTATGGCCTTATAGTGTAGTTGATTTTTAAAATAAGAGATATAGTTACAAATATTTTCAGGCTTCAGGATGAACTGGGTTTATCCACCATGTCAGTGGTTTGCTAGTTGACTCAACATTGGAGCACTGGTCATATAGGCTCATAACTCCAAATTACAGCATTCCTTGGACTTTGGGAAAATCTGGCTCAGTATTATCTACAAAATTAGATCTGCTGGCCTTTGCAAGATGTATAATAAAGTGGAATTCTAAGTATAATTTTATTTATGGAAAAGGTTATATTTATGCCAAACAAATTGATGCATTCCTTTTTTGGCAATAAGGCAAGATTTTAAACTTGCTGTTTATGATAAAATTGAGAATGTTATTAATTTTTTTAAAGGTACATAAACCCACCACCCCTCGGCAAGTATTTTCATGTTTTTCTGTTCTCTTGTATAAAAAATAAAGGATTATTATAATGTAGATAACATTTTATATTCTGCTTTTTCCTGTTTCCAAATCTCCCTATTATCATTTTAGAACATTATGTTTTACTCTATTGAAGTACCATGATTTACTAATCTTTCTTATGTTGAGCATTTAGGTAATTTCTGTTTTGTTGGGTATCGTGGTAATTGATGTGAAGAACGTCAGTGACGTGTATTATAGGTTTTTTGTTTTGTTTTCACTTTTGCTCCACTCATATTATTTTCTTAATATAAATGTATAAGCATAGAGTTATGATAGAGTCTGAACATTGCTATATATAGCCACATTGTTTTTATAAATGTTGCACTATGAATATCACTAATGTGATATGCAAATTAGACCACATTTCATAACCTGGTTCAAAATTTCTAGCTGTATTCCTTTTAAAATTTGGTTCATATTTATAAATCTAGAAATCAACTCTTAAAGAGCAGAATAACATAACAGGAATGATTAATAGAAGTACTGAATAGTTTCAAAAACTGATGAAGCACAAGTAATTGATCCACATATTTATTAAATTCTGACTTTGAAGTTTTTGCTCTTTGCATATCTATGAATAATTAATAATCTAGTCAACATGTGAGCAACATGAAAAAGAAGGCAGAACAATTCACAAAATGGATGTTATCCTCAATCTTGGAAAACATATCTTCTCTGAGAAATGAAAATATTAATTTGTGGGATAAATTAAATCAGTTATAGAATGAATCATTTTAACAACTCATCCTTTGCCTAGAGAGCTAGCTTCTTGCCATCAAGGTCTGTAGGGTTTTAAAGCCACTTTCCTGTTATTTTCCCAAGCACTTTTTGTGCCTTTGTCTCAGAGTGTCATGTTTATTGTTGTGATCAACATTCTGAGTTTCCTTGTATGAAATAAAAGACCTTAATGCCCTTGAACGTTTAGTCTGTATGCCTTAAAAGGAAGGACTGTTTAGGAACCAGTTATTACACAAAATACGAATTTGGGTTATTTAAACAAAGTATTTTTGCTCCCATCACTAGCTGAGACATTGGAAGGAGATGTGCAAAGACTGGGAAAGGCCTTAAGAATCTGGTCTTGCCTTTTCCCAAGATAAGTGTAAATACCCACATTTCCCCTTCAACTTCATCTCCTAAGAGGATTGATCACAACCAGTCCAATCTTGTTTGAGTCTTTCTCTTGTGGTTTCAAGTGATATATTGCAGGAAAAGCTGCTTTCAATAAGAACACTAAAGATGGCTGGTGAACTCACTATAAGTTTTATTCATTTTGACAGGGTGTGCCTGGAGAATCTGGTGAACAGGGTTACCAAGGAGAGCTTGGGTATCCAGGCTCACAGGTTGTATCTGGGAGCTTGGTTTTAGTGCTGAAGGATATTTGTTTGAAATTTTAACTTATTGTTTGATAATAATTTAACATAAATCAGAATGGCTTTGGATGCCTCCTTTCCAGGGCCTCCCAAAGAAAATTGTATAGCCCCTTTTCTGAAAAGATTAAACCACAATAGCTAATATTTATTGACCTCTATGTTCTAGACACTGTCTAAAGCACTTGTATTAACTAATTTAATTCTTCAATGGGAGGGAAGTTATTATCCTCATTTTACAGGAGAAAAATAAAGAGGGAATGGAGAAGTTAGGTAAATTGGCAAAGGTCACACAGCTAGTGAGTGATAAAGCTGGGATTCAAACTCAGGCAGTATAGTTACAAAATCAGTGCTCTTGATTACTGCCTCTGAAGCTGTGTATTCAAATATTATTTAATTTGCTGAAATTGTATTTATATCTTGGCATAGTGGTGTGCACCTTTCATCCCAGCTACTTGGGAGGCTGAGGCAGGAGGGTCACTTTGAGCCCAGGAGTTCAAGGACGCAGTGAGCTATGATGGTGCCATGGCACTCCAGCCTGGGCAACAGAGTGAGACCCCATCATTCAATTTGGTAGGAAAAAATCAGTAAAGTGTTTACAGAGTATGTATTATGCACAGGGAACTGCTAATAGACCTCGGACATTCATACCATTAAGGCAAGGGTCCTGCCCTCAAGAAGTTCATCCAGTGGGGTTTTGTTAGGTTATCAAATGATAACTGGAAATTTAAACTTTCAACCTGTTCTTTTGGCATCGTCTAAGCATAACCCAAATCTGTCATTCTATAGCCCTTCTGGAGCACATTATATGTATTTATTTTAAAAAACAAATTGTTTTTAAGTATACTCAAATTGAAGAACTTCGGAACAACAAATTTTACTAATATATCAAATCATTCTCCATAATTAAAAATCCTATGAGTGTCAGATGATAATTTCAGAAGGTATCTGCTGCTCTTAGACTTGCTAAGGGAACTAAGGAAAAAAAAATGGTAGTTAACGTGTAATTAGAGATTATACTTATTTTATGATGGAAAATAGCATCTGAACTGAAGGGAAAGCAACTAAAAGATGTATATTTTTCCCTTTTCTTTTTGATGACTGGCTCAGGACCCTCTACCACTGTTGTGTCGCTGCTTTCCTGTCTATACCCACTTCATTACACAGCTGATTGGAAGTGAAGCAAGTCATGCTGGGAACCATGAGCAAGATAATCAATAAAACCTCTCCTTAATTCTCACCTTCCCGCTGGGATGTGAGTGTGATGGTCTATTTAAATAGATGATTATCAATACCTCACTTAGGAGAGTAGAAGCCATAGTCAATCAATACTTCTAATAGGAAAGTGTTTCTCAGAAAAGCTGGGAAAATATTAAAGTGTCAAAAATCAGCAAAGTAAAATAGATTGGAGAGAAAATGAGCAAATCCCAGCAGTGTAGTCAGTGAGATTAAGCTACTTAAATGCACCCTTGGCTCTTGATCAAATCGAAAACACAATCTCTTGTCCTTAACCCTTGTGTGTATAAGGAAAAGGTTCATTCTTCAATGGAGATCAATAGCCTCGCTGCCCTCTCATCACCCTTTTAGAATTTAAAATTGGTTGAGTGAATTCAAAAATAAAAGCAATGTTCTCAAACTGTAGTACTCATCAGATTCACCCGGAGAGATTGCTAAAAATAGAGACGCTGAGGACTCGCATCCTCTGCTTCAGATGGCATGAGTTTGAAGTGAGTGTTCTGGGGTGCTTCAGAGTGCAGATGCTCCCTGATTAAAGTTTGATAAATGAGATAGTGATGGGTCAGGGCACCTTAATTTGTGCTTCCATTGGCATCCAAGGTGATTTTGTGGTTACATGGAATATAAATGACTCTTTAAAAATTGGTTGCATTTTAATTTCATCTTTGGATCAGGGACCAAGAGGAAGGCAAGGACCACCAGGAACTTCTGGACAAAAAGGCTTAGTGGGTGCTCAGGTAGGTTTGTAAAACAGCTACAATGCAGCTACTCATTAACACTGGCTGATTCATACCCCTGAGTGTTCCTGGATAAATAACATAAAGTCACACTGTTTGTTCTGGGATATGGGGATATCAGGAATTTCTAGAAAAGCTAATTTGATGCAGTAGATATTGATCATCTGCTATGTATCTTCTTCTACCCTAGGTAAGTTTTGGGAATATAGTGACCAATGAGATATGGGTTTAAACCTCGAGGGTATGTAATATAAGTTCATATTTAGCTATAGTAAAAGATGACATAATGGTACCATATAAAATTATAAATAACTAATCTGCTCCTTACAAATATGTAAGGAAGCATTACTATACCAATTTTATAGATAAGGAAACTGAGGCTAAGGGGAATTAAATGACTTGTCATCCGGATAGTAAGTGTCTGAACTGACTTCCAACTTGGTTCTTTCTAGTGCCTGCTTTACTCCCCACCTAATATCTTGATGGTTCATAGGATGCTTGGATAGATTGAGACGGATGATTAGATTGGCTTCCTGAGGAAATGAGCATTTGAGATGGCTTAGAAACATAAGCAGCATGATTAGAGTCAGGAATGAGTCTCCATCAGGAAACTGAAAATAGCAGCTCAAAGATGGCCAAAGCAATAGTTCTGCTATTTTTCTGCCTTGATCAGGAAAGAAAATCTAGCCTTATAACTGATTATATTATTGTCAATCTCAGTTGAAAATATCTTCAGTTTGGAGCAGGTGAAAGTCTAGGCTTTTGTTTTCCTGATCTCTTAATCAAATAATGTTTCCCTCTGTAGCATAGAAATGATTCCTTCAATTCTCAGTATGTGGTAGATGTGGCCTCCTGCTCCCCTATCCTAACCCCCCCAGCCCATAGTGTGTGTATATTATGCATTTTGAATGTTGGAGGATAGAATTAATTAATTGTATTAAATACTAAAGGTTAAACTCCCATCTCTAAGGTGATTCATGAGCATATTACCAGTTACAGAGTATTTCAATAATAACAACAGAGACAGACAGTTAACTTTGTGGCCCTGGTGGTGATTTTGGCCACGGTCTTGTTGCAGGGGAATCCTGGGCCTCCAGGGCCAAATGGTTCAAAAGGAAAAGCTGGACCAAGAGGAGTGAAGGTAAATGTCAGAGAACACGCTCTTTCTTGATTGTAGCTTGAGAGAACCCCTTGGGTTTTCTTAAACAAATCTTTACTTATATCATCACTTCCAGCATACATTTCTGATATGGTTGGTGATGCTATTGATTGAAGGCAAGGCATATAGATGAACATATAGAAAAATGAATCACATGTTTAAGTAGACAAAGATGTATCAACAGATAGATATACATATGGATTCACCACAAATATAAATGTGCACATCCAAATTTAGAAAAAGACATAGTAATATAAAATTCTGTAATTGTTGTTGCATACCTGGTGCTGCTAATTTTCGGTACCAAAATTGTTACTATGTTTGTTAGTCATCCATATTTAACAAAGCCTAGAGAAAAGTATTTACCTTAGGCTGTATGGCATGCTACCAAAACTTGAAAGCAGTGACTGTAAAATCTCTAAGGAAAATGACACAAAATTACATAATCTCACAGAAGAAAATTAATTAGATATTTTCTCTTTATAATAAAAGGGAGAGATTGGTGATGTAGGAGAAAGAGGCCCACAGAGTCGACAAGGACCAAGAGGGCAACCTGTAAGTCCAGTTTCTCTGTTTTGGATTCTTGATTGAATTTGTTTGCCATTTGTTCTTGTTTTACATAAAATTCTAATGTTTTAAATGTATGCAACCACTTTTATTCAGTTCAGAATATAGGTACCAGAGACAAGAAATCAGGCAAATCAGGGAGATATAGTCTAAAAAATCTCAGTGTGCACTAAGCCGAATTTTGATGGAGTCATCTACCACAGCATTAAAGTGTCTTATCCATATTTTAGATGCTGGTAAGAAATTATGAAAAAAGAGGTTTGATAAACAAAAATGGCATCAACTTGATGTAATAAATTGAAATGGCTTTAACATCATTGCTGTGAACACAAAATTTTAATATTCTTGATGAGTTAAACTCATGGTTCCAAATATGACATGACCACCAGAGCTCTTAAGAATCAAAACAGTCAAAGTTTCTGAGACTTCTTGTATAAATTAAGAATCTAAAGATGACTTGGAATTTATTTTGCCTTCTCACATATTGAAGAGCAAAGTGCCAATGTCTCTCATCTGTTTGACAATGATATTTTATAAGCATTTGAGTCTTTTAGGAATACAGAGATGTTCAGTGAAACATTTTTTTTCCAGGGCAACAAATAAGGCAGCCAGATCAGCAAACTTTTAAGAGTATGGGTTTGATTATCCAGAGCATAGAAATAATCTTTGGAGACCAAAGATCATAAAAGATTTCCTTTTACAAGACAATACTTTCAAACGCAGGGCTATGCATTTTTACCTTAGTTATCACCCCGAACAGGAGAGCAAGTTAGCTATTTTATGACTATTTTCAAAAGACATCTCGAAAAATACAGAGTTTGGGTCTTGGGGGTTGCAGATGCTGGAGGTTCTGCACATCCTTCAGCAAGGACAAGATGGAGTAACAGCAAATGAACTTCATTATCACCGCCCCATGGCCCCTGCCAAGAACTCATTTTTGGCAATCTTCTGTCTTATTTTTCTTTCTTTTCTAGTCTTTCAGACTTTCCTATTTAGACCATAGGAATCTTTTTGTGACTTCAGATTTTTAATTTTTCTTCTCAACTGATCTACCTGGTTTAGGGGAACTCTGTCCATTCAGAAAAAACACCTATAGGGTTTTGAATTTACTCTTTATTACAGTAAGCTCATTGTCTGTCTATACAGATGCTAAGCTCCTTGGTAGTATCACCAATTTCATGATTATTATCATCACCACCACTGCAACCTCCACCATCATTATCTTCAGCAATAACATCAAAACTACCAGCATAATCACCACCATCACCATCACCACCGTCACCATCAGTACCACCATTACCATCATCACTATCACCATCACCACCACCACCACTACCATCATTACTACCACTACCACTATCACAATTATCATCACCACCACTACCACCATCACTATCACCATCATCTTCATTATTACCACCACCATCACCATCATCACTACCACCAACACCATCATCACCATTGCCACCATCATCATTACTATCACCATCACTATCATCAATCACCATTGCTACCACTATCACTACCATCACCACCACCTTCACTATTATCATCAGCACCACTATCATTACTGCCCTCCTCCGACACCATCATTACCACTGCTACCACCAGCAGCAGACTAATTACCATCTATCAAGTACTGCCTCTGTGCCTGACATTGTGCTAAGCACTTTTCATACACAATCTCACTTAATCTTCCCAACAAGTATACAATGTAAGATGATACTATTATCCCTATTTTACAGATTAGGAAACTGAAGTTTATAGAGGTTGTGCAACTTCCCTAGGGTCACTCAAACAACTAATGTTGGGACTGGAATAAAAATTCAGGTCTGTCTGGGTTTATAGTCTGTACACTTAATCACTAAAC
Organism: Homo sapiens; assembly: GCF_000001405.40. Taxonomy (NCBI): domain Eukaryota; kingdom Metazoa; phylum Chordata; class Mammalia; order Primates; family Hominidae; genus Homo; species Homo sapiens. The sequence continues at coordinate 130,237,105 of NC_000003.12, forward strand.
TATATTGCCTATATTCCACTCTTTTTCTCCAAAGTCTGTGCTTTTGTCTGATGATTTACCAATTCTAGAGCTTCTATTTTTACTTTATCTCACAAGGAAAGCAAGTTTAGCCCAAGGGAAACTTTGTACAGTTGTGTATGGCTTCCTACAACCAAGGTATCATCTTGCTGATGTACAGATGGGGGTTGAAAAAACCTAAAAACTTCCTTCTGTTGTGGTCTTTCAAAGTTTTAAACCCTCATCTTCTCCAAATCTGAGTGTTTGTCCTATGAAGGTTGTCTCCCAATCTCCATCAAGCCCCATTGTTGTCCTTACTTCCTTGCATTGTTGATTTATCCAAGGGTTCAGATATTATTATCAACCAAGTGTTGGTCTGCATGACTCTACAATTCATCTTATATGTCATTTTCTTAGGGTCTTCCTGGTTCTGATGGATAAGGACATCCAGGAACAAAAGGAACAAAGGTGAGGGTAACCTTACAGGGTATTCTGAACTAAGGACTGTAGTTTTTATTTTATTTTATTAAAATAAGTGTTATTTTCCAAGTTGTATGCCAGGAACGGTTTGTACATATTTACAAAATGTTTTGGCCACCAGAGCTCCCTCCCTAAAAAGTAAAAATTGATTTTGTCACTCTCTTATTTAAAAGTCAAACTTCTTCCCTCATCTTCCACATATATGTCAGATATTCCCACCTCAGCTCTGGTAGTGCCAGACCCTTTCTCAACTTCCTTGGCATTGCAAACGCTCGTGTTTCCATTTGGAATGTGCTTCCTGATCTCCATCTCTTGGACAATTTTTACTCATTTTCTAAGACCCAGTCAAGTACTAACTTCTCCTTGTGGAAGCAGCCTTGGTCTTCCCCAGACAGAATTTGCTGTCCTATACACTGTGTTCCTAAAGCACGTTCATATTTCTGCAGTAGCTCCTTTCTGTTAAGGTTGTATTGTAATTTATTCTTGTATCTCCCAGGCAATAAACCTGACAGCAGCATTGCACTTTTGTTTTTCTGGAGTTGAGCCTGGCAGAGAGTAGGTGTTCAATAAGTGTATTTGTTTTTTTTTTCTTTTATTATTATACTTTAAGTTTTAGGGTACATGTGCACATTGTGCAGGTTAGTTACATATGTATACATGTGCCACGCTGGTGCGCTGCACCCACTAACTCGTCATCTAGCATTAGGTATATCTCCCAGTGCTATCCCTCCCCCCTGTCCCCACCCCACAACAGTCCCCAGAGTGTGATGTTCCCCTTCCTGTGTCCATGTGATCTCATTGTTCAATTCCCACCTATGAGTGAGAATATGCGGTGTTTGGTTTTTTGTTCTTGCGATAGTTTACTGAGAATGATGATTTCCCATTTCATCCATGTCCCTACAAAGAACATGAACTCATCATTTTTTATAGCTGCATAGTATTCCGTGGTGTACATGTGCCACATTTTCTTAATCCAGTCTATCATTGTTGGACATTTGGGTTGGTTCCAAGTCTTTGCTATTGTGAATAGTGCCGCAATAAACATACGTGTGCATGTGTCTTTATAGCAGCGTGATTTATAATCCTTTGGGTATATACCCAGTAATGGGATGGCTGGGTCAAATGGTATTTCTAGTTCTAGATCCCTGAGGAATCGCCACACTGACTTCCACAATGGTTGAACTAGTTTACAGTCCCACCAACAGTGTAAAAGTGTTCCTATTTCTCCACATCCTCTCCAGCACCTGTTGTTTTCTGACTTTTTAATGATTGCCATTCTAACTGGTGTGAGATGGTATCTCATTGTGGTTTTGATTTGCATTTCTCTGATGGCCAGTGATGATAAGCATTTTTTTATGTGTTTTTTGGCTGCATAAATGTCTTCTTTTGAGAATTGTCTGTTCATGTCCTTTGCCCACTTTTTGATGGGATTGTTTGTTTTTTTCTTGTAAATTTGTTTGAGTTCATTGTAGATTCTGGATATTAGCCCTTTGTCAGATGAGTAGGTTGCAAAAATTTTCTCCCATTTTGTAGGTTGCCTGTTCACTCTGATGGTAGTTTCTTTTGCTGTACAGAAGCTCTTTAGTTTAATTAGATCCCATTTGTCAATTTTGTCTTTTGTTGCCATTGCTTTTGGTGTTTTAGTCATGAAGTCCTTGCCCATGCCTATGTCCTGAATGGTAGTGCCTAGGTTTTCTTCTAGGGTTTTTATGGTTTTATGTCTAACGTTTAAGTCTTTAATCCATCTTGAATTGATTTTTGTATAAGGTGTAAGGAAGGGATCCAGTTTCAGCTTTCTACATATGGCTAGCCAGTTTTCCCAGCACCATTTATTAAATAGGGAATCCTTTCCCCATTGCTTGTTTTTCTCAGGTTTGTCAAAGATCAGATAGTTGTAGATATGTGGTGTTATTTCTGAGGGCTCTGTTCTGTTCCATTGATCTATATCTCTATTTTGGTACCAGTACCATGCTGTTTTGGTTACTGTAGCCTTGTAGTATAGTTTGAAGTCTAGTAGTGTCATGCCTCCAGCTTTGTTCTTTTGGCTTAGGATTGACTTGGTGATGCGGGCTCTTTTTTGGTTCCATATGAACTTTAAAGTAGTTTTTTCCAATTCTGTGAAGAAAGGCATTGGTAGCTTGATGGGGATGGCATTGAATCTGTAAATTACCTTGGGCAGTATGGCCATTTTCACGGTATTGATTCTTCCTACCCATGAGCATGGAATGTTCTTCCATTTGTTTGTATCCTCTTTTATTTCATTGAGCAGTGGTTTGTAGTTCTCCTTGAAGAACTACACATCCCTTGTAAGTTGGATTCCTAGGTATTTTATTCTCTTTGAAGCAATTGTGAATGGGAGTTCACTCATGATTTGGCTCTCTGTTTTTCTGTTGTTGGTGTATAAGAATGCTTGTGATTTTTGCACATTGATTTTGTATCCTGAGACTTTGCTGAAGTTGCTTATCAGCTTAAGGAGATTTTGGGCTGAGACAATGGGGTTTTCTAGATATACAATCATGTCGTCTGCAAACAGGGACAATTTGACTTCCTCTTTTCCTAATTGAATACCCTTTATTTCCTTCTCCTGCCTGATTGCCCTGGCCAGAACTTCCAACACTATGTTGAATAGGAGTGGTGAGAGAGGGCATCCTTGTCTTGTGCCAGTTTTCAAAGGGAATGCTTCCAGTTTTTGCCCATTCAGTATGATATTGGCTGTGGGTTTGTCATAGATAGCTCTTATTATTTTGAAATACGTCCCATCAGTACCTAATTTATTGAGAGTTTTTAGCATGAAGGGTTGTTGAATTTTGTCAAAGGCCTTTTCTGTATCTATTCAGATAATCATGTGGTTTTTGTCTTCGGCTCTGTTTATATGCTGGATTACATTTATTGATTTGCATATATTGAACCAGCCTTGCATCCCAGGGATGAAGCCCAATTGATCATGGTGGATAAGCTTTTTGATGTGCTGACAATAAGTGTATTTAAATGAATGACTGCCACTCTCATAAGAAGCTTGTATTTTAATAGGTAGTTAATTGGTCACTGACAGGTCTTAAAGCATGGAGGTCACATGGAACTTGTTGAGCAAATCAAATCTCAATACCCACTGTTATTCTGGATGCTTCAGTCTTCAAGTTACATGTATTGCCTCACAAAATAAGAAATTACTGGAATGTTTAGTGATGCTTAGTTGCTTAATGATGTCCGTACTCTGGGCTGGCTTCTCTGCAATTCTCTTGTTTCCCTGTGGCTGCAAGATGGCACCACTGCCATTTTATTGAGCAGAAAAATGCCTCAAACATAGTAAGTTCTCAGTAAATATCTATGGAATGATGGGCTATGGGGAACCTCAGTGATCATCTAGTTTAGCTTTGTCAATTTACATTTCAGAGAATTGAGGCTTAGAGAAGTGAAGTAACTTGCCTGTGGTCACACAGCTAGTTAGAGGCAGAGCTGAATGTGGAAGCTAGTCCCTTGAAATTCCATCCAGGTAAACTAAATTTTTCTTTGCTATGGACAAGTTTGCATAGCAGGGAAATTCTGGGTAGAATTCAAATATATGTGGTTTGAGCTACATGTCAGTTTGGAGCTAAGCACAAGTGCAGTCTTTGTTTATCATGATACAGTTAAATTATGGAACACAGATTCAGTCCATATTTGCATGAATTTTTCTTTGCGAGATGTAATGGCCTCACTTTAAATGTCTCATAATGCTGATTGGCCAGTTGACTACATTTTCTTAATCTGTTCACTCCCCTTCTCTCTGAGTTGACTATTTTACACCCTCACCTCTCTCCTCAAACTTCCAAGATCTGCTTTGTCTTCCATACTTAAAGCAGATGATCATGCTTCCTATTTCAAGAACAAAATTGAAGCAGGGAGAAAAGAACCTCCATAAATGTTCACCACCAAGTAGGCCAACCTACTTGCCTCTGTACCCATACACCCTGCCTTCTCTCCTACTACTATGGACGAGGGTCCATGGTCTTACCTAAGACTAATCCTTGCCTCCTAGACTGGATTCCACTCCCTTTTGCTTTCTGAGGCTCTCGTTCCATTTTTTTCCCCTGGGCAAAACTCACTGAAGGAGTAGTCTATACCAGTGCTTCTCAACGGAAGTGATTTTGCCCTCCAGGGGACATTTGACAATGTCTGGAGATGTTTTGGTTGTCAGAACTCAAGGAGAGGGTGCTGGCATCTACTGGGTAGAGATGCTGTTTAACATCTTACAATACTCAGGGCAGCCCCTCCCAACAAAGAACCATCAGGTCCAAAATATCAGTGATGCTGAAGTTGAAAAACTGACACTCAAGCCTTCACTCCTCAACCCTCCCCACTCAACTACATCTGCTTTAGTTGAGGTAAACCCCATGTTGCTAAATTCAATGGTCACTTCTCTGCTCTCATTGTGCTCCATCTCTCAGCAGCATTTGACAGATTGATCATGGGTTTATTCCCGATTTTTTCCCTCACTCAACTTCCAGTGCGTTCTATTTTCCTGGTTTTCACTGTCTTCTCTTTCTCATCCTGCTTTGCTAGATCTTCTGGATGTTCTTGACCTTTAAGTATCAGAAGACTGAAAGCTCTATTCTCATACCTTCTTCCCTCTTTACTCACCTCTCCGGTGACATTTCTTGGGGAAATCCAGTTCCATAGCATCAATAACCATCAATCCTGTTATCTCCACTTTATCTCTCCAGCTTGGACCAATATCCTAAACTCTAAAAATATTTCCACTTGGTCGTTTAGCAGGCATCTTAAAATTGGCATGTCCCCAAATAAATTTCTTCTTGTTTTTTTGTTTGTTAACGTTTTGTTACAGAAAAATTCAAAAATAAAAGTGGAGACTAGTATAATGACATTCTTCTGCCTCACCCCACGTTCCTATCACCTAATCCAAACAATGAACAACCCCTGGCCAATTTTGTTTTCTTTTATTTATACACCCAGTCACTTATCCTCCCACCATGCTGATTTCATACCCCCTCCTTCCTCCTCAAACCTCCAAGATCTGCTTTGTCGTCCATATTTAAAGCAGATGATCATTCTTCGTATTTCATTAAGAAAATAGGAGTGAGGAGAGAACGTCTACATACGTTCGCCTACTGTAGGTCATGTGATATAGGTGGGATTTACTTCAAGATAATCATATATTCCATGCATAGACATTTCAGGTTGCATCTTTAAAAGATTATTTAAAAATGTAACCACACTACCATTCTTACACCAAAGAATTAATAATAATCCTTTAATATTATCAAATATCCAGTCAGCCAAAACTGGTTCCCTTAACAACCTGCCCCTCCTCCAGCCTTTCCTATCTCAGGGACTGGAAACTTCATCCATCCAGTTGCTCAAAACAGACACTTGCAGCTGTCATTGATAAATCTTTTTCTCTCACTCCCACATTTAATCCATCAACAAATAGTGGTAAGCCTATCTTCAAAGTACATCCAGCATTTTATCATTTCTCACAACTGCACTGCCACCCTCTGGACCAAGCCAACATAATTTTCCATCTGTGTTACGGCAATAGCCACTGACCTGGTCTCTCTGCTTCCACCCTTGCCTCATATAGTTAGTTCTCCATGCATCAGCTAGAGACATCTTTAAAAACATAGTCAGATCAAGTCATTCCTTTATTCATAGCCCTTCTGTCGTTCTCCATGTCACTCAGAATAAAACCTACTGTTAACATGGTCTATAAGAATTTACACAGTGTGGTCTCTGTGAACTCTTTGTCTTCATCTCCTCCTGCCTGCCCTCCTTGCTCCACTCTGCTTCAGTGTTCCTCAAACATGTCAGCACATACTCTTCCTCTTACTTCAGGGTTTTTTTTTTTTTTTTTTTTTCACATACTCCTCCCTCTGCCTGGAACACTCTTCTCCCAGAAGTCTGCTTGTTTTCTCAATTCATGCTGGTCTTTGCCCAAATGCCGCCTTTATAAAAAGGCTTTGCCTGACTACCTCATATAAAATAGTGTCTCCTCATCCTTTGATACACATGGTTCTTTATTCCTTAATACCCTTTCTGGAATAACATTGATCTCTTTCTCACATATTATATATTTCTTTGTTCATTTTCCTCCCCACTAGCTTGTAAGTTCCGTGAGAGCAAGGTCTTCATTCTGTTCACTGCTGAATTTCCTGTGCCTAGAGAAGTGCTTGGAAGATAGGAGATGTGAATAGATATTTGTTGAATGAATGATTGCTTTGTAGTTTGCCTTTGGTTCTGACAATGAGCACCTGCTTCCCAACACTCAATGTGGTGCCCTCTCCCTTGGTTTCTGTTGGATTAAACCTCAGGTTATTTAAACTGAGAGATAAAAATGCCCTATGGAAGAAGTTTCATTACACAATATACTAGGGAGGGGGGGAAATTTGTAAAAATTATTTACAAGTTGTTTCATGTTGAATTAGAGATATGAAATATGGCCACTTGAGAGCAGCTCAAGATAACAACTGTTGCTATAGTTGTTTTTCCTGGCACCTGTTTTGAGTATATTTCCTCAAAATTATAGTGTCTTCTTTTTCCCCAAGGCATGTCAAGGAAATTTCTTAATCATATGACATTAAACAAGACCTTATCTCATTTCTGACACTAGGGTGAACCTGGATTATAGTGTCTTCTTTTTCCCCAAGGCATGTCAAGGAAATTTCTTAATCACATGACATTAAATAAGACCTTATCTCATTTCTGGCACTAGGGTGAACATGGATTCCCTGGCTATCCTGGTGCACAAGTAAGAAGATATATTTCTGGGCCTGGCAACTGGTAGGCAGCATGTGTCATTTGTTTGTGCTTATTTTTCTTTACACTCAAAGTTCTGCTTTTGATTCTATTAAGGGAGAAGATGGTGACCCGGGCCATCAAGGAGAAAAGGGGGCAAAGGGAATAAGAGGGAAGAGGGTAAGAATCAAAGAAACTTCCTAAGATCTATAGAAGCCCACATCATTACGGAAGTACGTTTCCACTGGGTTAGGACTTCTTAGCAGGAAGCCCATTCCTGCCCAGTCAATGCTCATTCCACACCTTCCTTTGGCTATCCCACTCCCCACTTAATCCCACTCTCATTTATCTCCTGAATACAAATACAGTTTACCAAGCCATAACAACAGAAAATCCAAGTTGGGAGTTTTGGTTTTACAATACCAACCTTTTAAAACCAAGTTTGGGAGCACCTGTGTCTTTGGTAAGTCTAGACATCATTTGGAAGGATATTGTTTTAGCTGTTGAGCAAACATTGCTGTTTCTTTAGGATTCTTCCAAGCCTTAACTTTCTCTTGCTATTTTTAGAAAAGATTCTTGAGAATGTAGTTGCCATCTTGGTGGACTTTGAGTCCACTGTGCTTTATACAAGTCTCCGATTAAAAATCAATTCCTTTATGTTCTGAACAGTCAGCCTTGAACAGCCACAATCACTGGCAGCTCTTTTTGAAGAGTAAGCCTGTGGATATCTAACATCTTGGTAATGTTTAGCCGATCAATGTTAGAGACCAAGGTCTTCTAGGAAATGGACTAGTGTTTACTGCAGAAAAGAGGAAAGGAAAGATAATGTATGTTTTCTAGGTACTCAAGAATTAGCATTTTCATACATTGGCAAGGACATAAAGAAATATTTGATCTGTGCCTAACTTGGCTTGCTGCTGACTATGGTTGCTCTGATCAACTAACTTTTATTTCTAGTTTCAAATAAAAAAAGATAAAGGATTCACTGTATTTAGATAACACTGTGTCATTTCAAATGCTTGGAAGATGAGCAGTGAACCTATGACCACCATGTGCGTTTTCTGAAACACTGAGAACCAGAAGGTGGTAGGGAAATTTTTCCTTTTTCCTGATGTCAGGCCCTTAATGCAGACGTCCTGCATTATTTTTATTATATAACCTCAAGACTCAACAGAGTGTATTGAGTCATATTTTAAGGATCTGTCTAGAAGTGTGTGTTTGTGTGTGTATGTACATATGTGCATGACTGAGGTTGGGTATATAGGGGGGAATTTGGATGGTTCCCATAAAATGACCTTCCTCTCTTTCTATTCTCCATGTCTTGTCCCACAGATATATAGTTTATAAACTAACTGGTCAATAGCAGACTCATTGGCATTAGGAATAATAACATATCAAAATGGATCTGATGGTTGTAATCAAAGAGGAAGCTTATTCTTCTGGCTTGGTCTTTTTTTAGGGTAATGCTGGCTTTCCTGGATTTGTTGGAACTTCGGGTGACCAAGGCCCACCAGGACAAATGGTAATATGTACCCTTCCTTTTTCTTTTGTTTTCAACTGTTGTATAAAAATAAATGAAGATTTGATAAGAAGCATCTCTAAAGAAGAAATGAACATTTGGGACAAACAGTGGGATCAACATAGAGAATGGGGTAAATTTGTCCTATAGCATATTAGCTTCAAGTCTTTATACAGTATATTTATTCAATATATATTTTTACTTGAACATGGGGAAGATATTGGAGTGGCTGGAGATTTATGAACCTAAATAAATAAAATGATGCATAAAACTCACTGGAGAGTGAGTTTATCATTGTTTATCATTGCAAACAAGATGAGCAACAATATTTATGCAAAACTAGGGGGAAACCCTAACAAAATATAATATTTATATAATCTTAACTAACAATGTTGCAAGTCCACAAATATTTTTTAAATTCCCTGGAACATCATTTGATATGAAAGGAAAGAGTTTGAGGCTACGATCCTTCTGCTCTGCGCCTTGTCCTAGGAGGCCAGACTGTCAATCCACGAGGGATGGCGCAGTAGGTCAGCCATGGATTGAACCTGGTGGTCTCACTTGCAGTCTAGGGTTTACTGGAGAGGTGCAACAAAGTCAGAAAATAAAAAATTTTAATGCTAGAAGGACCATTCATGGCATTTTTACAGAAGAGGAAACAAAGGCTGAGATGCTGAGATAATTATAGTGACCTGCCTGAGGTCACAAGTTACCACCTTGTAGATTCTAAATAAGAAAAATGATCTCTAGACTCCCAGAGGTTGGAGCCATGAAGCTCTAATCGCAAGGTTTCCAGAGAAGACTTCTTGTTCAGTATTATGGCAGAAAAAGGGTGGTGCTGGGTGGCCTGAAGAGAAGGGATAAGGGAGGAACTGGGGTCTACTTTAGAACTATCGATGAATGGTCCTGGGATCTTTGATAGCCCTTTTTCTGAATGTGATCCTAAACTATGGTTTCAAAATGACCTGGTCCTCTAAGAGTGTTTCTGTCTAGGCCTTCTGGACTCAGAGGTCTTGGATACACCTCTTAGGCACTCTGGCTTTCTTCCTAAAGGAGTCAGACAGAACTCTAGGGCTGGGAGTGAAGGACAGAAGATGGTCTATGTAGTGTGGTAGAGTTTTTAAGACTCTTTTGCCAACTCTGTAGAAGAATGTGTTGGATCTCAAAATTTTGCATTTTAAACTCAAGTTTCCATTCTTTCCAGGGTATAAAGGGCCCCAAAGGTTTGGTAGATATGACGGTAGATGAAGATTTTAATTCCAAACTTTATTATTATTATTATTGACATGGAATCTCGCTCTGTCACCCAGGTTGGAGTGCAGTAATATGATCTTGGCTTACTGCAACCTTTACCTCCCAGGTTTAAGAGATTCTCCTGCCTCAGCCTCCCAAGTAGCTGGGACTACAGGCGTGTGCCACCATGCTTGGCTAATTTTTGTATTTTTAGTAGAGACACGGTTTCACCATGTTGGCCAGGCTGGTCTTGAACTCCTGACCTGTAGTAATCCATTTGCCTCAGCCTCCCAAAATGCTGGGATTACAGGCGTGAGCCACTGCACCCAGCCAAAACTTTATTCTTCTTAGAACACAAAGCTTTCCACTTTCACAAAATAGAAATCTGTTAATCTTAAAGATTCTTTAGTTTTTTCCTCTTACAAATTCTGTTAGTACTTTAAGTTTATAGACTTTACTCTGAAATGTTATCGCCAAGTCAAATAAAAATAGTAGAATGGTATTTTAAATCTAGCAGGGAATTGGGGTGTTTTTGAGCAACACTAGTTGACATTAAAAAAGAAAAAGACTTTGAGGCTACTACCTTTCTGTAATGTGACTTTTTGTAACTCTCAAAAACTGCTTATAAAGTATTTATAAACCCACACACAGGCTTTTGAATAGCACAGGTTTCTGTGTTTCATGGAACACTTGAAAACAATCTCAAAAGTTATGATAGCGTTTCATCTCCCAAGTACAAAAATACTATTAGGCAGGGGGTGGGGGGTGTGGAGGCAACTGAGGAGCAGGAAGTGATGAGGACTGGGATGGAGAGAAGAACAGAACAGAGAGGAAGGGATCGAAGGAAAGAAGCAGAATGACTAGGTGAGGTGTTAGGGGTGTCTGTCTTGGCAGTCATTCTAAAGAAGTGATATAGGAATTGCTATTATAATATAGAGTGCCAAGAATTGAAAGCATTTCCTTGCATTCTCTGCTGAGATTCTTTGGTTTCAACTTCTTCAAAATCAGGTTTTATTCCATTACTTTGTAAGGCAGATTTAAAAAATGGGTACCCCTTATCTACCTATCTCCAAAAATATGGGCACTACATTGCACACACATCTTTTAAGTGTTTTAAAATATCGACAGGATTTGGAAATGTAATTGTAGAGTATCTCATCGGCTCTGACAATTTTTGGGTTTTCTGTTGTAGATTAAAAAGCTTCAGATAGGCACTGATAACATCCATATGACATTCCTAAGGTGACATGTGTGAATAAAAATATGCTTCAAGTTAGATACTTTTTCCTTTTTCCTGTTCTCCCCCCATCTTTTTAACAGCCTTGCAAAATTGTTGATTTCACACGTGAAAACTGCCGTAAGTTGTTTCGGAAAGGCTCAAAAGGAGCCAGTGGTATGAGCTGGGGATGGATTACGGATTAGGGGCATAAGTCACCTGAGGCTTTGGCTGAGGTTTGGAAGGTGCCTGATTCATTGCGAAAGGCTCTTATAAATTCATCCATTGGGCTCAGTTACCCTTTAGGTAAGTAATCTTTCCCAATGTGGTCTCAGAAATAAAGTGGATTGACAGCATGCCATCTCAACGATGAAGAGAAGCTCCACTGAGCAATACTGTGCCCCAGGAGATGTCATAACTGCACACCTGTGTGCCTACATCTTGCTGCTTCTTATCACAAAACAAAGGAGGTTTGTTCTTTTTATGTAACCCTATTAAATAGGAGGGATCAATAGTCACCCTTTGAGAAGAAATCTGTCCTATTTTATTTACAGTTGTGTTTTGAAAATGGAATTATGAACAATCCAATCTTAAGTAATGTTTTGTCACATCCTCAAGTTGGAATTTATTTATTATGTTCAATGCATTCCAGGATATTTGTGTCCTATGATATGTACAGTTATCTACTTAATGGCCATGGGGTGAGAATGTAGATTTGGCAAATTGCTTAGTTTGGAAGTTTGGGTTTTCTCTGCAATCATCCTGCCCTTCTTACCCTAACCCTTCCATGTTCTCTCTGTTCCCATCCAGTGGCTGTTCAGAGAGATTCTGGACTTCTTTTTCCTATAAATCATAAAGAATAATACCATCAGTGTGATTATGAATTAAAAGAGTCTCAGCGTCAACCATGTAAAAAGTTAAAACCTTTTTACATTGAGGGATGCCATGAAGTCAAAAGTAAACAGAAAAGTGGGAAAAAATAGTTTGTAATATAAGCAAAGGACACAGGCAAAGGAACTAACTTCCTTACTATATCATGTTGAAATATAAAAAATTGCTACTGCTCAGTCATTTTTATCTACAAACACAGACATTGCATAATGGCTAAAACTAAATGTAAAAACAAAAAAACACCACTTTTAGAAAATGGGCAAAAGACATGAATGGGAGATTCAGAAAAGAAAATATACAAACGTACAATAAACCTGTAAAAATGTTCAACTTCACCAGAAGTCATAGAATATAAATTAAAACAATGAGATACCCATTTTGTCTCTCAGGTTGGAAGTGTTTTAAAAATGCCAGAAAAATTCCTATTCAGATTGGGAAATGTGTAAGAGTACATATTGCTGATGGGAGTGTACATTGATACAACTTTTCTGAAGAGCAACTGGCTGGACCATGCATATAAAATCAATACTTACAGAGATTTATATAGGGCTATGATTGGACAAATGTGCACAGATACATGTGCAAGTATGCTCCTCATAAAGGATCATCTATATAGTAAAATAGATGATATTGCTCTAAATTTATTGATGGAAAAAAATCATTACACACTAAGTGAATAAAGATTCAGAATAAATATATCTTAAGCTCCAAGTTTTATAAAATGAAATGAAATAATTATATATTTATTATTTATATACATAAATACATATACATGATGAATTAAGGGTAATTCTATTTTTTGTTTTTTTTAGTATTTTTTGAAAATGTATTACTTGTATACACACACATATATAATACATATAGTTTATAATTAATATATATGTAATTTTATATGTGTATATATTATATACATGTATATAATATAGTTTCAGAATAGCTCAATGTATTCATTAGGTTTAAGTTCAGTTGAATGTGACCTAAATCCTCAGTAACAGTGGTACAAATGTTATTTCTGAAACCATAGGCTGGAACTAGTCAGTTCAGGTTGATATGGAGCCTGTGGTGGTCAGGGATTAGTCCCTTTATATTTTCCTGCTTTGCCATTGTGTGTATATGGGATGTTCTATTCCCCAAATTGCTTCATGGTCTGAAAATATATCAGGCTTCAGTCATCACATCTATATTTCAACCATCAGGGAAAGGAAGGGAAAGGAGAAGAATATTTTTTCAGTTTTACCTATCATCTTTCCTATTCTATTACCTAGAATTTGTAAGATGGCTAAGTTGGGAAATGTTGTCTTTGTTCCAGGCATCCATATGCTCAATGTGAAATTGGGGGTTCCATGACTATAGAAAAAAAGGGAGAATGGATTTTGGGGGACAAGTAGAGGTCTCTGCTACACTCAGCAGGAGCCTGAGAAGGCCATGCTTGAATTTCTCAGAAAAGATGGTTTTTCATATTGAAGCACACACATGGGAAAGGTGCCACTGCCTACATAAGCTAACAATGTCTTCTTTTCTCTCCAAAATAATTTCCCTTCCAGTTTGTTCAAGAGGTAAATAATATTCCTTCTTACTCACTTCAATCCTTACCTCTTTCAAGGCATTACAGAATATCTTAAATCTGTGTATCTGTTGTCTCAAGGTATTTCCAAATGCCCAGCATTCCCAACTGAAGTGGCCTTTGCCTTGGACATGTCAAATGATGTCTCCCTGTTGGATTTTGAGAGGATGAGAGACATTTTATTGTCTCTGTTGATGAAGATGGAAATAAGTGACAGTAACTGCCCAACAGGTGCCCATGTGGCCATTGTTTCCTACAATGCCAAAACCAATTACTTGGTTCGTTTCTCAGACTACAAGGGGAAGGTTGCACTCCTGGAGGCTGTCAGGAACATCCCCCTGGAGCAGTCATCTGGCCGCAGGAACCTCGGGGCCACCATGAGGTTTATGGCGAGACGTGTTCAAACGTGTACGCTCGGGTCTTCTCATGAGGAAGGTGGCTGTGTTCTTCCAGGCGGGCTGGGCCTATGATGCAGCTTCCATCAATACAGCCACACTGGAGCTTGCTGCAGTGGGCATCATCCCCGTGGTCATCACCTTCACAGAGGGGCACAACCTCCCGGACACCCTGCTGGTATGTACGGGGAACCACAAGTGGGCAGGGAGCTGGGGGTGTTAACACCTGGTTTCTACCTCTCCATCAAGAACCACATGAGGAATGAGAGATGTTTAGGGAAAGAATTTCCCTGGAATTGATGTGTATGCAAGGAGTGAGGACTCTCAGTATGGCCTGTATACTGGTGCTACTCCTAGTACCCACTGGCTAATCTTGGGCAACCTATTCTGTGCTATGTGCCTCATATACATTATCTTACTTAATGAGTCCCACAACTCTGTAATGTAGGTGTTATTGTTTATTTCCAATTCCAGGATAAGAAAACGAGGGCTTATGGAGGTTAAATATATCATCAAAGGCCAAATAGTTAGTGGCAGATATGGTCTGCCTCCAGAGCCTGTGCTTAACCACTATGCTAAACTATATCATTGGAGGTCAGAGAATACAATTTTCTTCCTTTTTAAAAACCAGAATATAACATACATACTCATGTAACAAAGTGGGCAAAGTGCAGTAATTTTAAATGTACAGATGGATGAATTTTTATATATGTTTAAATCCCTGTGACGGATACGTGGTTCAAGATATAGAACACATTCAGTGCCCTGTAAGTTTTCTTCATGTTCTTTGTGCAACCATAAAGCAGTCACTCCCCATGGTAATTGCTTCTCTGAGTTCTATCACAATCAAGTACTTTTTGCCTGTTCTGGACCGTCATATATTGGGTCATACAGCATGTACTCATTTGTATCTGGCTTCTTCCAGCCAGCATGGTGTCTCTTCTTGTTCCTCCATGTCGTGTGTGTGGGTAGTTTGTTCTTTATTATTCCTGTGCAGTATTCCATTGTATGTATACATAACCATTTATTTACTTATCTATTCTCCAGACTTTACTTTCCTAATTGAAACCCATGCAACACACTCTGATGGAATATCTGGGATGATTTATCAGAATGAAGGGCGATTTTCTTCTTAAGAGATTCCAGGCTGCTTATGAATGTTAGGTTGGATCATGGGATATTGGCAATATTTCACCAGTTTTGAGCTGCAGAAATGGAAATGTTACATGGTTCAACATAACAGCTAATCAATTCAGCCCATTTAATTTTCTCTGAAGGTTCAGTGTGCAGCAGAAGTGGTAGGTGAGAGATTTTGTTGACACAGCTCTGAATATGCACATAAGAATCAATAAAGTTGTGACAGCTTCCAAACTGTGGGGAAGGATGGACAAAATATCTTGAGTTGAGAAAGTTAAAATGCAGAGAATGAGTTCCTTGTTCATCCTTACATCCCTCTTGCCTACTATGATGTCTGTACAGGGGGGGTTGGTAGGGTACATCCTCAAAACTGCTAGAATGGATTTATAAAGGCAGGGTATAAACAAATAGCTAATTAAATTAGAGATGCAGCTTTTGTCTTTGGCTCTCTCATCAATAGTGAGGTGCCTTTGGACAAGTCTCTTCACCTTTCTTGGTCTTATTTTACTCAGCTCAAAAATGGAGAGGGGTTGCAACTAGATATTGTCCAGGCTCCCTTCCAGGTGTAATTATCAAAGCGTTTATTTCTCAGGAAGGGATTTCCTTAACATTTGGAGAGTGATTCCTGGGGTGTGATCACATCCCTCCAATGCTCATCAGTGCTGCTCTCTGAGAGGGAATCTTGGGCAGACAGTGTTGGGATCTTGCACACAGATGATCCTTTGTTGTGATGTTCTTGCCCTCTTAGTTGCCTTAGGTTCTGAGTAAAGGGATATAACGGTATGTGAGAAGGTCGTGCCAGCTTGTGTACTTGAACCTCAGTTCTGTCATTTCTATCTGCTCTCCTCTTCATTTATTGGACATATTCTTACCCCAGGATGCTGGGAGACAACTTCGTGTTCTTTAAATTTAACAGTTTACAAAGCATGTTAAATGATACTTGCCAGCTCAGCTATAATGAGTAACCTCATTTCTGGTGACATTGGTAAGGAGAGAAACTGTAAAAATGACAACTGCATTCTCAGGACCTTTCAGAAAATCCTCATTTCTTCACAACTGGGCAGAAAATTCAGCCCTTAACCTCCCCTACTCTGTTCCTCAGCCTTAGCGGAATCCAGTTAGGAGAGTGGAAATATCTTGTGATTTTTCTTCTGAATTATCTGCCTGAAGGCTTTCTTTGATTATGTGTGGGGCTTTGTCTTTCACCTCTATGTTATTTTGATTTTCAGAACAACACCCACATGCTGCTTCTGGAAAAATGATGGTTGTTCAATTTGAAGCAATTATGTAAACAGATGTCCTAACTTCCCAGTCCATTTAAACATGCTTAGAAGCTGTGGTGCATATTGAAAAGGTTTATAAAGCCATCCATGGAGTTGTCTCAGACCTAAATAAAACTGCATTATAACATTTGGACTTTCTGTGCCTAATCCCTTTGTTAAGAAATGTCACATGGACACAGGAAGGGGAATATCACACTCTGGGGACTGTGGTGGGGTCGGGGGAGGGGGGAGGGATAGCATTGGGAGATATACCTAATGCTAGATGACACATTAGTGGGTGCAGCGCACCAGCATGGCACATGTATACATATGTAACTAACCTGCACAATGTGCACATGTACCCTAAAACTTAGAGTATAATAAAAAAAAACAAAAAAAAAACAAAAAAAAACTAAGTTTTAGAAATAATATTGACAGTATACTATATTCAAATAAATGTTGTTAAAACATGAAAAAAAAAAAAAAGAAATGTCTAATTGCCTTATGTCTCAAAAGAAGACTTCATTAGACCCATTTTTTTTGGCTGTTTTATTATTTTGTTTTATTTTATTTTTATTTTTTATGTATATTCTTTTATTATTATTATTATACTTTAAGTTTTAGGGTACATGTGCACAATGTGCAGGTTAGTTACATATGTATACATGTGCCATGTTGGTGTGCTGTACCCATTAACTCGTCATTTAGCATTAGGTATGTCTCCTAATGCTATCCCTCCCCACTCCCCCCACCCCACAACAGTCCCCAGAGTGTGATGTTCTCCTTCCTGTGTCCATGTGTTCTCACTGTTCAATTCCCACCTATGAGTGAGAACATGTGGTGTTTGGTTTTTTGTCCTTGCGATAGTTTACTGAGAATGATGATTTCCAATTTTGTCCATGTCCCTACAAAGGACATGAACTCATCATTCTTTATGGCTGCATAGTATTCCATGGTGTATATGTGCCACATTTTCTTAATCCAGTCTATCATTGTTGGACATTTGGGTTGGTTCCAAGTCTTTGCTATTGTGAATAGTGCCACAATAAACATACGTGTGCATGTGTCTTTATAGCAGCATGATTTATAATCCTTTGGGTATATACCCAGTAATGGGATGGCTGGGTCAAATGGTATTTCTAGTTCTAGATCCCTGAGGAATCGCCACACTGACTTCCACAATGGTTGAACTAGTTTACAGTCCCACCAACAGTGTAAAAGTGTTCCTATTTCTCCACATCCTCTCCAGCACCTGTTGTTTTCTGACTTTTTAATGATTGCCATTCTAACTGGTGTGAGATGGTATCTCATTGTGGTTTTGGTTTGCATTTCTCTGATGGCCAGTGATGGTGAGCATTTTTTCATGTGTTTTTTGGCTGCATAAATGTCTTCTTTTGAGAAGTGTCTGTTCATGTCCTTCACCCACTTTTTGATGGGGTTGTTTTTTTTTCTTGTAAATTTGTTTGAGTTCATTGTAGATTCTGGATATTAGCCCTTTGTCAGATGAGTAGGTTGCAAAAATTTTCTCCCATTTTGTAGGTTGCCTGTTCACTCTGACGGTAGTTTCTTTTGCTGTGCAGAAGCTCTTTAGTTTAATTAGATCCCAATTGTCAATTTTGTCTTTTGTTTCCATTGCTTTTGGTGTTTTAGACATGAAGTCCTTGCCCATGCCTATGTCCTGAATGGTAATGCCTAGGTTTTCTTCTAGGGTTTTTATGATTTGAGGTCTAACGTTTAAGTCTTTAATCCATCTTGAATTGATTTTTGTATAAGGTGTAAGGAAGGGATCCAGTTTCAGCTTTCTACATATGGCTAGCCAGTTTTCCCAGCACCATTTATTAAATAGGGAATCCTTTCCCCATTGCTTGTTTTTCTCAGGTTTGTTAGACCCATTTTTTTAAGTTAAAAAGCAGAGGATTACAAGGAAAATGCAATTTGTGGCCAGGTTTCAAATTTTGTTTTTCTTTATAAAAAGTCTAGCCCATGTTCCCTTGAAACAATGCCTAATAGCTCACATTTATTGATCTAGGCACTGTTCTAAGATCTTATTGAGTCATTTAATCCTCACAGCAGTCCAATGAGATAAGTGTTATTATGAGCCCATTTTTCAGATGATGAAACTGAGACACAGAGAAGTTAAATAACTTGCTCAAGGTCTGGAATTCTCATTAGCAATGGGATTTTCAAAAGTCAAAAATCAAAAACAGGAAAAGAAGAGAGACTTTAGAAGATTTAAGTTCTTTCCCTGTATTTATCCATTTTATCTTTACAATAACACAATGACACAGGTCTATGAATTGGCCCTATTTCGAGTTCTGTGTATTGCTCTTAAAAAAGAAGGCCAAGCAATGGAATGATAGCTATAATGGGAGGCAAACAAAAAAATCACCTTTAGAAGCTGAAAACATTAAGAGAAAGGCTAAATTTTGGGGGTATATTTTTGTATAATTTCAAAATTCAGATAATTTCAGTAGGACATTCTTTTCTATTTTGGGGAGACAATAAAATATATGTATTTATTTTTATTTTATTTGTAATCGACAAATAATAATTGCATATATTTATGGGGTATAAAGTGATGTTTTGATACATATATACATCATGTAACAATCAACTCAGAGGAATCAACATATCTAAAGTTGGGAACATTTCTTTTGAAGAAAGGTGGTCTTGGGTTATGCAGTTAGGCCCTTTCAGAGAAGGCCTATGGCTGCTCTGTTCTCCGCCAGACTGTTAATGCCCTAAGGCCAGGACCAGCACCAAAGGAAGAATTAGGCAATGAGGCTTCAAACCGTGGTTTTGTCCCTTATGTCATCTGGGCATGTTATTTGGCAGTGGGGCCCCCTTAATTTATTCTCTGTAAAATGGGGATAAACTCACAGGATTGTTGTGAGAATTATAAGAGATGGTACCCACAGGGATACCTGACACTTTCTATGTGTTTACTCAATTGGGTCACTATATTACCATCTTCTTGAGGTCTATAAGAATGCCCTTTGCGCACTATTTATTAAATCTGATAGTGAGTGCCTATGGAGTTCCAGCCACCATGCCACATGCTTTCCATGCCTTATCATCCCAACCCCTCCCTATTCAAAATGTGGTTCAGGGACCACCACCAGCAGCAGCATCACCCAGCATGTGATGCCTTTCCCCTGATGGAAGCGATCAGGATCTGTATTTATAACAAGATCCCCAGATGGTTTGCATAAATGTTAAAATTTTAGGAGTATTGGTCTGAGCCTCATAGCTATGCTACAAGTTAATAATGATAATTGTACATTTCCCAGATATGTGAAGGCCAGAGGTGAAGTTACTTGTTCTCAGCTACAGAGTCCTGAAATTTGCATTCAGATATGGCTGGTTCCTAAGTCTCACTATACAACCTAAACCCTTAACCCAGTGCTGACACCTAATGTTTTCCAAGGAATCTAGGAAGAGTTGGCTGTTTCATGGCAGTCTTTGGTGGGACCATGCCAACTGGAAGGAGCCGAAACTGGACTCAAGCTCCTGGGGTCAGTCACGGGTTACCTGGCTACTCTCTCCCTCTGTCTCCTTCCCCCTACTTTTTCCAGTTTGCTGTCCTTGTTTCTCAAGTCCTTACTTCAACTTGATGACAGATGGTTTCTAATTCTCTCTCCTTAGGGTCCAGTTAGTTCTTCCTCTGTCCAAGGCAAATCCTCCTTTCTAGCACTTGCTTCTTTCTACTGTATTCTCATCTTTCCAAGCCAAGAGACTCCCCCAACTCAGTCCCAGAGATGAACATTATCCCATGGCTTCTGGCAGCTTAGTACGACAGCTGATGCATTGACTTTAACCCACAGGGTTAAGTTTGAGTCAGGGATCATGGGGAGTTTTTTTTTTTAATGTTGAGAGTTGAAGTTTGAGAGTTGTCCTTGTACTCCTTGAGAAATGTCTTTCTGTCTATCAAACAAAAAAGGATGTTAATTTAACCCCTTTGCCATATCCTTTCCCCTCAATATACTCCTGTCTTTAGCACACAACTAGTCCCAACAAACCACAACTGGACATTTAGGGATGAAGTTGGTTGAGAGAATTGCTAAAGGTGCTGATTCAAACTATGGTAAAAATTTGAACCTCAAGCAGACCTCTTGGTTTATGTTAAAGACACACTCTACTGATATTTCCTTCTCTGGTGTTGATGGGACTTTGCAGTAGGAATCGTACACAGTTTTCTCCTCTCCTCCCACGCTATCTCGCTGCTTGAACTTTCTCAGGAAGTATCTTGTCTATTTTATCAGTGACAAGGACCATGCTGGCAAGTCCAAAGTCAAAGTAATTAAATGTTTATTAATAACAACTAGGTACAGATGAATCTATACTGAATCATAGCTTCCCTGTGGACTTTTATCATGTTTTTGTTCCCACAATTTTGTTTTTGCAGGAACAGTACAAATTTTAAATATGATCATAAAATTGTTTGTTAGAAAAGGTTTTAAAAGGTAAGTGTTCAAATTCAGTGGAATTTGATAGTTTTCCAGCAAATATCTATAGAATAAAGATAGAAGAGTTATGTGCTCTGAGCTGCTTAAAGTGGAAAAGTTGGTGCATTGTCCTGATCAAGAAGCAAATAGAGAAGGTAGTTACCTAGGACCAGGCTGTGTTGGAAAATGAAGAGAACTCAGGGGCATTGACTCTTTCCCTAAAACTCTGTTGCTGAGGAAACTGAAGCCAGAGGTTTATCCAAGGCCACATAGCCAATTATAGCCAATGAAGGACTAGGACCCAGGTTCCTGACCTCTAATCTGTTAGTGCTGCACATAACTTTCCCTATGAACCATCTCTAAGACAAAGGAGAATGAATTTATACAGACTTGGGGGAATGTTCAAATTTGTTTGAAGTCTTTCATGCTACTTTAAAAAGTCACTGAAATTTTTGCATTTTATAATATACTTCACCCATGTTTCCTGTGCTTAAAAAATAACGTACACTAACTTAGCATTTCCCTACAACTGTCGGAGTAAAATTGATGCACCCAGAGTTATCGCAGCCTCTTCATATCTCCTGACACATTGCCATGAATTCTGGGTTCAGAAGCCTTCCAGATTGCCTCGTGTGATTTCCAGTACAGCTAGTGATGTGTCATATTCCTGCCTACGCTGTTTTCTCAATCCCTGGTGATTAATTAGGTCCATTTGGCTTGGTCAGTACCCAGATCTGATGATCATGTGCAGTAGATCTGAGTGTTGAATGTTGGCAGCGCTGCACTCACTTTTCATGCCAGCTTTCTTCACGTGGCAAGGAGTTCCACAGATGTGCGCCATGCAGCTGCAGGTTGGAGGTGGGTGTACGCTAATCTGTGGGAGCAAGAGCATAGAGCAGAACTCCAGAGATAAGCACAGTCCGCCTCTGGGCCTTTGTACATGCTGTCCCTTCACGCTAGAATGCATTTCCCTGCTTCTTTGCCAGTTAAATATCGACTTATTCTCTCAAAAGTGCCAGATGCCATAATTTTCATTAGGTTCCCTCTGTTCCTTTCCCTTGAAATGAAAATCTCCTCTTCCTGTGCTCCTTAAATATATTATTGGAGCTCTTTCTTGTTTGAAAATCATTTATCTATCTTTCTACTTGGATTTTAATCTCTTTGAAGATGTGGCCATGTCATCTTTATATCTCCAAATGGCTTGTTAATGCTTTCATGTAGTATCTGTTTAATCAGTCTTGATTGATTTGCATTTCTAAGTTAAGAAAAAGCCTAATTTAAGGTTGCTTTTGCCATATAAGGAGCAAGAGAGGATGCTTTTTGCTTTTATTCTTAGGAGACTTAGGCCTGTTCCCATGGTTTTCTGTGTTACGTTAGCATAAACATTGAACTCTTCATATTTCTTTTCCCACTAGGATTTTTTTTCAAGTAATCTGACTCTGAAAGACAATATTTGGGATACACTACAGTCCCGAGCAGAAAGAGTGAAGAGCTCTGTAATGTTAAGAAACTTTGTTTGCAAATTAACCCCTGACTGTCTATCTTCCTGAGGTCTAGCCTGACATCTTCATATCCTCAGCATCTAACATCTTCATATCCTCAGCATGTTGCTACCTGGAGGAGGGCCCAGAGCCTGCTTGTTCCTGCCCACACAGATGAAGGAGGAGAAGCTGACTCTCAGTGGGGCCCTTTTCTGCATGCTTTGCCAGACAGTAGATACAAAGATGGACATGACTAAGCTTAGACATCCACCTCTTTGTAAACCACACCTCAAATCTTGAGAGAAACATTTCTAGTTTCATCATGAGTTTGACATTCTGCAAATTGTCTGTATAAGTCATGGCAGGTTAACTGTGAAACCTTCTTTTCCAAGTCTCAGTGTCTTAACAAACATAAGTGGTTATTTCTGCCACCTGTCATAAGTGGATATGGGCCCTTGTGTATGTTTGTGTGGGAGAAGGCATGTTTTGCTACGTGCCACTGTTTTGGGATGTGGGCTGCTTCTGTCAGCGGCCCCATTATATCGTAGGGCCTCAAAGCCTTTTTCTGGATCCTCCTCACCTGACTGGCAGATGAGGGGAGAGGGAGTAATGGAGTACAGTGCATGCACTGGAAATGACATATGTCACTTCTACCTGCATCCCGTTGGCTAGACCCCAGTCAGTAGGCATCACCTAACTGCAAGAGGGGCTGGGAAATGTAGTCCAGCTGTGCCCTAGGAAGAAGAAGGAAGGGGTTTGCTGATCATCTAACTAGTTGACCCATGGACCTTGTTGGATTTATTGTTAATATTTTGCTTTTAAGCATTGTTATTAGTTGTTAAATTAATCATAATTGAAAAGGCTAAGTAAAGGAGATAAACTAAATAAAGGAGATAAATTTATATCTCTCTAAAGCCTTCCCTGATCCCTCTTCACTCTTATATTCTGGTTGTGATATGTTTAGCTCTGACCACCAGGAATACTCTAGAGAGGATTCCCACATGGTGTCTACTGTTTCCATTCTAATGGTATTTGACATTTACGACTGCCCCTTTGAAGAGTCTGCCATTCAGGTCAATAGCTCCCACCACACTGCATTCCGTGAACAATTAATAAAGATTTATGAAGTTTACAAATGATTTAACGTTGTCTCCTTACTCCCATTCCGATGTGTGATATTGGCTGAGTTTTACACATATTGGGAGTCTGAAGACCCACGATACACATACCCACACCAATGACAGTCCAACCTCCAGGTTAGAACTAGGGAACTAAATAGCAATAAATAACTGGAATGTATAATGCTGAGTTATTTGTACATATATTTATATAATTATATATCCTTTAAAAATCATATTCATGTTTTTCTCATCTGAATAAGAAAACACATGAAAAAGATGGCCTGAAATTACTCCAGCTAATCATAAACTTGAGTGTGTGTGTGTGTTTGGATTAGATGGATGGAACCAACAGATTTTACTTGTACGTCTGGGAGACAGAGCGCCAGCAGGATGTGGAGCACGTGGCCCGCTGTATTCTCTGCTATGGTAAGCCAGGACAGCCTTTAGAACAGGATGAATTCACTGGTGGCCACAGGCTAGCTCTGCTCGGCAGATGTGTATTTACTTGGCATGTGCAGGGTTTTAAAATCTAGAGAATTTCCTATGAAGTCTGGATTTCTGGTTTTTCTTAGGAAGTCAGACTTATCATGAGAGTCACAGACACTGCATTCCCATGAGAAACAGTCAGCACAGCTGAGTTGGGCCTGACCCCTCTTAATGGGGTGAGGAGTCTCACAGTCCTTACCCCTCCCTATCTTACTCCTGGCATGCTCTGCTCATTTATCTGTCCTGCTAGCTGCTGGGTTGGCTGGGCTTGTGGTTCCTGCCTTAGTGCACCTTAGTGTGACGGGCAGGCCACTGAACTAAGAATTAAGAGTGATAGGTTCTAGGCCTGGAACCACCATTGACCAGCAGTGGGATACTGGCCAGTCATCCAGTTTGTCTTGGTTCCCATCCTCCATTGCTGTATCCCACACCAACCTGTGCTGGAGAGAAGTTTCTGCTGAAACGCGTGCATGCCTATATGTGAAGAGCTCCTGTCCACACCCATTTTACCTAGCACCAGAGTGGGTAAACTTGAAGGGATGTCATGGTTTTCTGTGTTTGATCCACACTAAGCCCAGTACTACCACAAGATACTCAGCTATGACAACTTGGTCAAGTCAAGTGTAGTAACTGCCATTTGTGAGTATGTCACAGGTGATGAACTGCTTTCACATCCATCATCTACTGTGAACTGCTTTCACATCCATCATCTAATCTGACACATTGCTTTTTTGGGCCTCAGTTCCCTCTCCTCTAGAAGCCTAAACCTAGCTAGTGTTCATCGAGGTTTTACTATGCATCAGGCATTGTTTTGAACACTTACATATATATGAACTCAGTTTTTCTTTTAAACTTCATAAACAACCTCAAAAGGAAGTACTATTATTATCATCATCATTACCTCCATGTGTCAAATGAGGAAACTGAGGTTCTGGTAGACTAAGTAATTTACCCAAGGTCACATGCTGAGTAAGGAATAGACCTGGAGTGAACCAGGCAGCCGGGTTGCTGAACTCTTGACTATTACCCCTGTGCTTTGCTAATGACTGAATTAGGAGTTTTTAACCTTTCTTGGTATCATAGATCCCTTCTGCATCTGGTTAAACCTATGCTCTCCTTAGAATAATGTTTTTCAATGCAGAAAATAAAAAACAGGATTACAAAGGAAAATGATTACATTGACATTATCAAAATACTTAAAAATTTTGATATAGCAATATATATTTTTAAAAGTTTTATTTTTAATTGGCAAATAATAATTATATAAATTTTTGGGGCACAGTGATGTTTCAATGCATGTATGCATTGTTGAATGATCAAATCAGGCCAATTAACATAACAATTGCTTCAAATACTTATCACTTGTGTATGGTGAATATGTTTAAAATCCACTTTTTAAAGCTACTTTGAAATATACAATACATTATTACTGACTATAACACCATGCTGTGCAACAGACCACCAGAACCTATCCTTCTGTCTAACTTAAACTTTGTACCCTTTGACTAATGTACCTCCTTTCCCCATTCACCTCCCTGCCGCTCTCCCTATGCTCTATTTCTATGAGTTTGAACTTTTTATATTCCACATACAAGTGAGATCATACAATATTTGTCTTCCTGTACTCGGCTTATTTCACTTAGCATAATGTCCTCTAGGTTCATCCACATCACAAATGACAGAATTTCCTGCTTTTTAAAAAGGCTGAATAGTATTCTGTTGTGTATATATACCACATTCTTAACCCATTTGTCATGTGCTTCTTTATTAGCATTTTAAATGATAAGATCTAGCAGGTCTAATAACTATTATTTCAAAGTATTAGTGAGTGCAAATAATATTGAGCCATTTGCAACCACTGATAAGGAAATCAGTGATTTCTATTGGTGTCGGAATCACTGGTATTATAGTTGTTTGTTGTCTTTATGCACAGTGAAAAGAAATGTTAAATTTCATTTCAATAGAGGTAGTGAAAATAAAGATGTAATTTTTTCCCATCCTCATTCACAGACACCTTGGGAGACTGTGGTTCCCAGGTTAAGAACACCTGCCCCCGCCAGTTCTAAATGAAAGATTTTGGCCCAGCAGTGGGTCTCTAACACCGTTGTTCATCAGAATACCTGCATACATTTCAATGATAGATTCTGAGCTCCCTCCCAACACTACCAAACCAGAATCTTGACGTGGCTGGAGCCTGGGAATCTACAGTAAAAAAAGAAAAAAAAATTATACATGCCATTTCGATGCTGAACCAGCTTGAGAGCTCTAAGACTACACTATTAGCTTTTCATTTAAAATTGGCAATGTTTGATCTTTTTTTCTTAACCTTAAAAAAAAGGCACTTTCATATGGTCATTAAGGTCACTTGCAGCTCTAGCAATCAATGTTTTTTTACGTGGTTTCCCACTAGTGTTGATTTATCTATTGTTAGATTATAATCTATTATTAGATTATAATTATTTTTTGGAGGAGGAAATAGAGGTGATGTCTGTGAACACAGAGACTGGGAAGCCATATGGCCTAGTGGTTGAAAACATTAAGTGTGCAATTGATCTCAATTCTTCTTATGAGAAATGAGCCCATTTACAGTGCCCATTGACTTGCCACGTCACCACAATGCCTGGAGGATAGTGCTCAGAGACAGCTGTCCTTACTGAGGGTCTGGAACTGTGTTTTGCATGGAAAAGAAGGGGATGCGTGGTTTAACTCCGGCCTCTCCCTGCACTTCCTTCCTAGACAAATGCAGACCAGACCCAGAATGCCCGGCTGGCACGCCGGGGCCCCAGGAGGTGGACGTGGACTTGGTATTTGTGGTGGACAGCTCCTATGGAGTGGATGCCGACGTGTACCGCGGGTCTTTGAGTCTAGCGGACGCCGCGCTAGAAGACCTGGAGGTGGCTGAGCAGCCGGGCGCGTCCCACCGTGGGGCGCGTGTGGCCCTGGTGACGCACACGACACCCAACTTCTGGCCGGGTGTGGGTTGCCTCCCTGTGCTCGAGGGCTTCCACTTGACCACCTATGGCAACCGGAAGCAGATGCAGAGACATGTGCGCGAGGCTTCAGCCCGCCCCTTACAGGGAACCGCCCCCCCTGGGCCACGCCCTGGAGTGGACGCTGGAGAATGTGCTCCTGGCAGCCCCTCGGCCGCGGAAGGCACAAGTCCTCTTCGCCATCGTGGCCAGCGAGACAAGTAGCTGGGACAGGGAGAAGCTATGGACTCTGTCCCTGGAGGCCAAATGCAAGGGCATTACCCTCTTTGTGCTGGCCTTGGGTCCGGGTGTGGGGACCCATGAGCTAGCCGAGCTAGCCGAGCTGGTCAGTGCTCCCTCTGAGCAGCATCTACTGCGCCTACAAGGGGTCTCAGAGCCAGAGGTTAACTACGCTCAGGGATTCACTCGGGCCTTCCTGAACCTCCTAAAAAGTGAGCAGTCCCCGGGAACTGGGGCACCTTGGGTGGAGTGGGGAGAGGGATTTACAGAGCCTGGCATTTGGGCATGCAGGTGCCTGTTGCAGATTCACTATTGCCTAATGTTTGTAGCCCAGCATCCCTGGGAAAAGCCAGGGAGCACCCCATTTCCTGAAAACCCTGCACTATTACCGCCCTGACATTGTGTCAAGCCTTGTGATGGTTTTTTGTCCTGAACTTCTCATAGGGGAGAAGTTCATGGCTGGGAGCCTCAGACTTCCACATAACTTTTCAATTTTCTCATTTGTCAAAATGAGAATTGCAGTCTTTTCTCTAATTGTGAAGCCATATGTTCAGGGAGGGGCTTTGAAAGCACCAATATTGTACACATATAAGGCATAGTTACTGCTATTACTATTTATTACTGCAGTTTCCAATAGTATTTGACAGTGCTTCTTAAGTTTTTACATGCACATGAATCTCCTGGGGATCTTGTTAAAATGTAGATTGTGATTCGGTAGGTCTGCATTGGAGACAAGAGTCTGCATTTCTTACAAGCTTGAGAATGATACCAATGATCCTAGTTTATTTGATGTTTATTTTAAAGTAGAGGTTGACATGGCAGTGTGGAGTCAGGGGTTTTCAGGGACTCACTAGGAAGTAAGGGAGACAGGACAAAAGTCTAGGGTCTTCCATTTCAGGTTGGATTGATGAAGCCAACAGTGAAGATTAAGGGGCAAGGGCTGTGCCAGTGGGTCCTAGCCAGAATTCTTTCCCATCCCCCTGCTCGAGCATCCTTAACTCCAATTAGAACTAGTGGAATTGTTATTGTTTTTTCTCTTATAACTAGATGAGTTAAATTCGTGGGCAGCCAAATCTGTATCCCTAGCATGATAATGGAGATTTAGAATTGCGATGGCAAGGGTATTATCCTGGTCACATTGTTAGCAGTTTGTCTTGGGTTTCATCCTCCAGTGCATAATTCAACTTATGTGCAGGGTGCTTTGCTGTAACATGTGGAGCCTCCTTGCCCTCCTTGCTTGGAGACTTTAGTTTCTCAGTTTATAGGTGGTTGTGGTAGCCCACTGGGAGCCTTGAGGGACATCTTCGCCTTCATCACTATAAGAATAAAAGGAGTTTGATGGACATCTTAGAAGTACTAACACAGCATTTGTACCTCTCCAATTTGAGAGGTACAAAGATCAGTGAATTAGTTCTAGTCCTAGCTCTGCCATTAGTGAGCTATGTGATCCTAGAAAAGTTCATGAATGTCTCTGAACCTTAGATTTCTTATATATGTGGGGAGTGGTAATAGAAGGCTGATGGCTTAGAGATTCTTTGAAGGAGAAGCGGCCTGAAGGAATCACTTTTCTAATCTGTTTTAATTTAATTTTACTTTATTTTTTATATTGTATTATGTTAGATTGTATTTTGTATTTTGTTTTTCTCTTAGGTTGGATTTTACTTTGCATTATTTACATAATAGGATACATTTTATGTTTTTATTTTGTTTTATTTGCTTTTATATTATATTTATTTTATGCTTTATGTGAATATATTTTATGTCTTTTTGATTTTATGTCTTCCAGGATTAAAAACATTAATGTTTTATTTGCTTTTATTTTTATATTGTTATGTTTTATTTCATTTTGTTTCATTTGTTTTATTTTATATTTTACACTTTGTTTTACTTGATTTTATGTTTTGAATTTGATGTCTTCATGAATAATATTTTGTTTTATTTTATTTTAGAATTTTATATTATTTTATATTTGACTTGATTTTTTATTTTACTTTTAGGTGGGACAAACCAGTACCCACCCCCAGAGCTCACTGAAGAATGTGGGGGCCTACACCGTGGGGACACTGTGCTGCAATTAGTCACACCTGTCAACAGGTGGGTTGAGGACAGGGTTGAGATTGGTCCATACCTCTGCCCCAAGGCAGAAGAGACTTTCTCCCTAAAGAAAGGTCATATGCAATGCTAGTCCTCAACTTGACCTAAACCACTGGTCCTGGGATGCTCCTGGGTTTGACAGTTCTGATATGGATTGTCTTTCTTTTCTTTTCTTCAGACAGGGTTTTGCTCTATTGCCCGGACTAGAGTGCAGTGGCATAACCTCGGCTCACTGCAGCCTTCACTTCCCAGGCTCAAGCAATCCTCCTGCCTTAGCCTCTCACATTGCTGGGACTATAGGCCCATGCCAACACACCCTGCTGGTTTTGTACTTTCTGTAGGGATAGTTTCACCATGTTGCCAAGGCTGGTCTTGGCATTCTACCAATTTCTACCAATTTCCATTCTACCATATCGCCCCAAGCTTGAATTCCATATCCCAGAGGTAAAATTGATAATGCTAAACATATCATTCTGATTTTTCAAATATGTCTGCAAAGCTAAGAAAATAGTTAATGCAATAATACAGTCATTAGGAAATGCCCAAACATAAGGCTTACAAATCACAGCAATAACAGTAACAACAGTTGAGCCTCTCAGTTCTTGAGATTTTTTTCATGCAGTTTGACATGGATTGTTTCTATACAGGTTGCCCAGGCACCAGTTTGGTATGTCTGGCTTGGCTGATGATTTGGAAGCACTTGAAGCAACAGGCATTTTTCTAGAAGAGAAGAGAAAAGACATCACAACATCTATAACTCAGCAAGAAGCACTTGAAAATTATGAAAATAACAAATATGACATTGAAGAAAATGAACAAGAAACACCAGCAAAACAAAAAGAAACTAGAAAAGAAATAAATGCAGACACTACCTATGGTAAAAACCAAACTACTTCTTGGTCCTTAAGTTGGATTCACTTTTTTCATTTTTAACTTTTTCTTAAAAAAAATCCTGTGCACTGTGTTAGCATGCAATTTTTTAAAATTCACTTTGCTTACAAATCCACAGGTTCATGTATGCAGCTAAAGAAAATAGTTTAAAAAGAAAGACAAAGGCTAACTTTCACCTGGCTGTCGAACTGGAGCTGGATGAAAGTTATTTCAGGGCGTATTATGAAGGCACACTCTATGAAGTGTCTGCACTACCTTTGCAGAGAAGCAATGAGTTATTGCAGAAGTGGTGAAGATACTCCTGACCTTGAAATGCACCTACTTGGAGACAGGCTCTACATTTTGGATACATCTAAAACAACTGTAGCATCAATTTTGGATTACAGCATGCAGTAATGCAAATGCCAAGTTCCTTTTTTTTTTTTTTTTTTTGAGACAGAGTCTCACTGTCACCCAGGCCGGAATGCAGTGGCATGATCTCGGCTCATTGCAACCTCCGCTTCCTGGGTTTAAGCGATTCTCCTGCCTCAGCCTCCTGAGTAGCTGGGATTACAAGAGCCCGCCACCAAGCCTGGCTAATTTTTATATTTTTAGTAGAGACAGGGTTTCACCATGTTGGCCAGGCTGGTCTTGAACTCCTCACCTCAGGTGATTCTCCTGCCTCGGCCTCCCAAAGTGCTGGGATTACTGGCATGAGCCACTGCACTTGCTGCCAAGTTACTTTTTATATGTGATCAGCAAATTAAGCAGAACACTAAACACATGAGAAAGAGATACAGGAAAACTTCTCTGTGAAGTTCTGGAAACTGATTCAAGATAGCTGAAAGAGTTTCTAGTGAGTGGTGTGGTTAGTCCTGGTTACATTAAAGGAGAGATCATTTATCTGAGGTTTTGAATGTGCCTAGATAATTCTCCATCTGGGGCTACTGGCTAGGTGGCCATGGGAGTTATTCACTCTCTTGGTGACTCAGTTTTCTGCTCTGCAAAGTGGGGATTATATGAGTCCCTACCTCATAGGTTTGAGAATACAACTTGATAATTCATGTGTTTGCCACATAGTATACATCCACACAAGTTAGTTAAGATGCTGATGATACATGCTACCTTTTAGATTTCAAAGCAAACACATGTCCAAAATAAATAACAGAATCAGACAGACATAGGAATACCACCTCCTTAGGCTAGAATATTAAACATAGAATAACTTACCTTGTTGGTTCTTATGTTTTCAGTATAGAATATCCTCAGGTAATCTTACTAAGGTAATGATTTTCAGTCTTGATTGTACACTAGAGTCACCTGGGGATCTTTAAACATTGACCTCAGCCCAAATCAGTCAGAATCTCTGGGTGTAGGACTTACCCGGTGATTCCACTGAACAACCAAGAGTGAGAACTACTGCTTTAAGGCATTCTTTCTCATAAAATCAAGGTGGAAAGGATGGGGGAGAGTTTCCTAGTCAACTAATCCAATCCCATTCACAGACAAAAACTGAGGTTTGAAGGTCCCTGATACTTCTCAGCCGCTCTGTTGTTACGTGGCTCTGGCTGGCCAGTTTCCTTTCAGTTTTCATTCCAAGGTCATTCGAAACCCTCACCACCTCCTCAAGGTCCTTCCTCCATGCCTCTTCCTCTAGCAGATATGCCTCCCTCTTTTTTTATTCTTTTCAAAAGAAATAAAGGTGACCGAGCACAACCTCCTGTAACTTTCTGTATTTCTGCAAGCCTCTCTTCCTGCCCTCCAGTTGGAGAAAAGAACTGGCCCTTCTCTTATTCTGAATCGTCAAGAAAGACCAAAGGGCTCTTCCAGACCTTGTTGACTTGTGCTTCTTGGGATCTGGCCACTGTTGGCCACTACCTTCCTCTTTAAACCCTCTCTTCTCACAGCTTTGGAGACAACATTCTCCTCTTGTTCTTCTATTCTGGCCAGTCCGTTTTTGTGGGCTCTTCTTCCCAGATCCACCTTCACAGGGGGATTCAGGTTTTATGGAATTTATACAATTTGGGGGCCCTCTTTAAGAAAAAGATTTTAAAAAATTATTAAAATTAAGTGAAAAGTGAATATTCATTTAGAAGAGCCTTATGCAAATGATTTGCTGTGAAGCCTAGGCTTTATTAATGTCATGATGAATCTGCTACACCCTTCCCCAAGATTCTTTCTTCAGTCCTCCAAACACTCTGCACACACCACACTACTTAGGTATGCTTTCCCCCCCGCCCCCACAACATCGACTATCCCCTCTGTGCTGGTGACTCTCAAATCCATATCTTCCACTTTAACTCTCTCCTGTGCTATAGCATAGTGTATTCAATTACCCTCCAGATCGTTCCACTGGATTTCCCTGCAGTCACATCAAGCCAGCTTAGTTCAACAAACCCAACTCATTGTCTTTCCCATTCAAATCTCCTTCTCTTCCTTTACCAACTATCTTTATTGGTATGAACCACCAGTGGCCCAGGAATAGAAAGCCAAAACTCAGTATTATTTTTAAAAAATTAATTAATTAGATTTAGGAGTGCAAGTACATGTGGATGTATTGCATATTGGTGAAGTCTGGCCTATTAGAGTACTCATTACCCAAATAGTGTACATTGTACCCAAAAGATAGTATCTCATCCTACACACCCCTGCCCCTGCCCCTGCCCCAGCCCTCCCACCATTTGGAGTCTCCAATGTCTTATTCCACTCTGTATGTCCACATATACCAATTGTTTAGCTCCTACATATAAGTGAGAACATGCAGTTTTTGACTTTCTATTTCTGTATCATTTCACTTAGGATAATATCCTCCAATTCTATCCATGTTGCTGCAAAAGACATGATTTCATTCTTTTTTATGGATGAGTAGTATTCCATGGTATATATACCACGTTTTTAATCAAATTAATTCGTTGATAAGCATTTAGGTTGATTCCATGACTTTGCTATTGTGAATAGTGCTCCTATGAGCATACGGGTGTAGGTGTCGTTTTGATATAATAATTTCTTCTCCTTTGGGCAGATACTCAGAAGTGGAGATGCTGGATTGAAGAGCAGTTCTATTTTTAGTTCTCTGAGAACTCTTCATACTGTTTTCCATAGTGATTGTACTAATTTACATTCCCACCAGTAGCGTTCCCTTTCTCCACGTTCTCACCAACATCTGTTGTTTTTTGACTTTTTAGTAATAGTCATTCTGACTACTCTAAATGCTATCTCGTTGTGGTTTTCATTTGCATTTCTCTGATGATTATTGATGTTGAATATTTTTTCACATTTGTTGGCTGCTTGGATGTCTTCTTTCAAAAAATGCCTGATTGCCCAATATTATTCTAGTTGACCTCTTCTCCCTTGCCTCCTGCTGTCTAACTGGTCTGCTTTCTTCCAATTTGTCCTCCTTCCAGTTCCATTCTAAACAGCTGATTGACATTTCTAAAACACAAATATGGTTGTGTCCCTTCTCCTCTTCTATGGTTCCTCATTGTTTATAAGATAATGTTCAGGTGCCTGTGGAAGGCACATGGGCCTTTACAATTAGACCCCTGCTTTGGTCCTCTGGGGCTTTACTGGCTGCCACTTCCCTGCATATGCCTTTCGTGGCCTTTATGCCCCGCAGTTTATTCCAGATCTCTGTACCATTGCTTACCCTCACCTGACTGTCTATATTTCCTCCACAGTGTCCACGTGGGCTATATCTACTCATCTTTTACTACTCAGCTCAAGTTTCACCTCTCCTTAGAGTTTTTTTCTATGCCCCCAGGTAGTTTTAAATTTTCACAGCCTCCTTGGTGCTCCTGAATCTTAAGACAAATTCTGCCATAGTGCCTGCTACCTTTCATTGCGCCTACCTGTAAAGAATTAAATGAGTTATCTCTCTTCGCAGGTGCCAGGCTGATCTTGGTACATTTTCAAGTTCAGTGTTATATCCAAAGCACACAGACCAATTTTTTGGTTTTCCCCTCCAAGTAGGGCTATAAGACATATATGCCAGGGAATAGAATAAGCTGGAGCAAAATTATAATTTCATTGTAGCTGCTCTTTATACCTGCCAACTCTTTTCTTTTTCTTCACCTTTACCTTTCTTTACTCCTGGATTCCAAGAACTACTGTGAGTAAAATTGTTACTGCCACCGCATAGTTCTTCCAAGAAGGCAAAGGTTAATATTCATGGTAAAAAATAAAGCCAAATATAAGACTGGGGGCTAGCGATAATTGCTTGGGTAAAAATTTGTTGGCCCTCAATGCCTTAACATACTGGTAAAAGAAAAATTAAGACTAGTGGTATTCTGAGTGTTAAGCTACAATGATAATTTAGAGATAATTAGCATAAAGCATGAAGGACTCTTTCACCTATAGCCGTAATGACCAATGTAATAACTGCTAGCCACATTGGCTATTTACATTTAAATGTAAATAATTCAAAATTAAATAACATTAAAATTTCAGTTCCTTGATTGCACTAGCCACATTTCAAATGCTCAACAGCCACATGGGAGTGGTGGCTACTGTATTGGACAGCACAGATTTTCCGTTATTTTAAACATTTCATCGTTATAGAAAGTGCTACTCTAGAAGTCTAATTTAGGAAGAGCAGTCCCTGTTTGATTGTCTCTCAGACCCAAAGCAAGGGTGGAGGTTCTAAAGATGACAGAGTGTCCCTAGGAAAAGTGATGGATATATTTGAATGAATTCTTGGTTTGTCAGTTCAGAATCAGTTGTAACGGCAGAGGTTGGTGCCGGCTGATAACTAACCCGAGTCTATTTGTTGGCTCTAGAGAGTACAGCAAAGAGTTCACCATTGGAGTGTTTTTCTGTTGACAACAACAGGTTTTTGAATAAGTATTTCTCTTACTTCTCCTGGGCCTGTACTGCTTGTTATCTTATATCCTCCAGAGTAGGGGTCATGCAGTGAGCAAATTCAAATATGACTACTCAAAGCATAGGACTATTTCCATGATCAATTTCTTACCGTACTAAGAGCATATCTCATCCCTGTGGGTACAGTACATCTGGTCACCTCTCCTAGAAAACTAGTCTGTGCCGATTATACTATTGGGAGGTTAGCAGATAGTTTCACAGAAACAAAGCATGAATTTTAAGGCTTGTGTTTTTGAAGATAGTATCCTCTTTATTTAAGGGTACATGGAAGGCCTAGGAGGAACTGTGGGGAGGATGGCAGCATTCTGTGCTTCAGGGCCAACCTGGATCAGAAATACTTCTGTGTGATACAAAGGATACCCAAGGAAATCTGTTCTCCCTAGAAGTTGAGGTGGGGAGGGTTATATACCTGGGAAAATCATTGCCTCATGTAAAATTCAGGGAGTCTCAGATCTTGCTTTGTTGTAATGTGTTGATTTCCAATGCTGTTTTTAATTGTTCAGGAACATCATGTTTTTCCTTTAATAGATGTCTTAATTTCTCAGGCAAGAGCCAGGGTACTATAAATAATAAATAAGCTAGATTTCCTTAGGTCATTAGAAGACTGGAGACAAGGGATTGGGATGGTTTGCAAAAGGAGGGAAAGCAGTATAATACACAAGTGAGGAGTGCTCAGTATCAGAAAGATTTATTAATATTCATTCACTTATTCCCTCATGTGTACATTATCTGTGGCATGTCTTCCAGGTACTGTGCAAAGTCATAGCTATAACTATGTTGCACATTTCACATATGTTATATGACACTTTATAACATACTTGTGATATAGAAGTTTTTTAAAAATATTGCTTTTATAGCTGAGGAAATTGAGGCTCTGAGGGGTTAAATTACTTGCTTAAGGTCACAGAACTAGTTGGTGGTGAGGCTGAGATTCATTCCCAGGTCTGTGACTCCAAACCATTGCTCTTTTTCTGTCATGCTCATGCAGGAAATTCAGCTCTGTATTTATTTTGTTGCAGGTCCTTGTTCCATGGATCCAATGGAAGGCGAGTGTCAGGATCACACCCTGAAGTGGCATTACAACAAGGAGGAACGGGTTTGCCAGCAGTTCTGGTGTGGCAGCTGTGGCGGCAATGCCAACCGGTTTGAAACCAAGGAAGAATGTGAGGCTTGGTGTGTCCCAATACAGTAACAGTACAAGCAGAGCCCTGTTACTGTTAAAGGCAGAGCTTTTAATGCTGATGAAATGGAGATTACCAGGGCTGAGGCAGGACCTCACAGCTCAGAAGTGACAGCCCATTCCAACACCTTGGACATCAGATTCCTAAACGTCTGAATGTTTTCACGCCAACAAGGACTTGGGCCAGATGATTTGTGACTTGAGGACTGAATTCTAATAGTTAAAAAAGTAACTGAAAGATATTTAAATGAATTAGAACGGAATGAAAAATAAACTTGAACTTATAATATTATTTTAAAATTTGGGGGTGCTATGTAGCAAAATAAAAATCAGTGTAAGCAGTGAGAAAAACCTAATTCAGAAATGAATCGAAACTTGGTTTGTTTTTTTCACCACCAGAGAATAGGGAAATATTAGTCAAAGAGAGGGCATGGAAGAAGGGACATCTAATGTGAACGAACTTCATACTTACTACTTAATGTAGATAAATAAAGG
Source organism: Homo sapiens (assembly GCF_000001405.40). Lineage (NCBI taxonomy): Eukaryota > Metazoa > Chordata > Mammalia > Primates > Hominidae > Homo > Homo sapiens. The sequence continues at coordinate 130,273,790 of NC_000003.12, forward strand.
CATTCTTTATTAAATCATTTGGCATGAGACTGTGTGTGATCCTTGCTCACTGCAATCTGTGCTATACTTTGTGACATTGTGGTTGATGAAGAGACAGCCGTGATTTTTCCATGAGACCAACCCTTTGGCACCCATTATAGTGGCCTCTGTCCTTCAAAACATGGTGACTCAACAATTAAGGCTGACATTATTAATGAAAAGTGAAATGAAAGCTTTACGTTCACCATGGATGAAACATTTTGCAGCAAAGATATTAAGGAAAATCGTGTTTTTTGTGAGATTTTCCTCTGCCTCATGGCTTGATTCTCTGGGCCTCTAACCATGGGCCTGGCTTCCAGACAGAATTGGGAACTGTGTGGAGGAGATCTGTGGGGGCACTGAGGATGCACGGCTTGGGGTCTTTGTAAGATCATGCATTAGTCAGCTGGGGCTGACATAGCAAAATACCACGGGCTTAAACCACAGAAATTTATTTCTGACAGTTCTGGAGGCTAGAAGTTCAAGATCGCAGCACAGAGGGCACTCTTCCTGGCTTGCAAATGACTACCTTCCCGTTGGGTCCTCACATGCCTTTCCTCAGTGCATGCTCATAAAGACAGCAAGAGAGAAAAGACCCAAGCTCTCTGGTGCCTTTTTTTTTTTTTTTTTTTATTTTCATTTGAGACGGGCCTCACTATACCAATATTGCCTTGGCTAGCCTCAATGTCTTAGGCTTAAATGATCTTCCTGCCTCAGTCTCCTGAGTAGCTAGGACTATAGGCATGAGCCACTGCACCTGCCTCTGGTGTCTCTTCTTATAAGCACACCACTCTTATTGGACTAGGGACCATTCGTATGACCTCATTTAACTTTAATTACCTCCTAAGGCCCTAAATACAACTATAGCCACATTAGGCGACCATATGAATTCTGGGGAAACACAAACATTCAGTCCATAACTGATCACAAGCAGCTGGTTTTCCCCCAGGGACACAGGATGGAGTTGCTCTCTGGTAAGTTCCTGGTTCTGTAAGTGTGACTGCTATAATCTGTGTGTTTCTCCACACAGTCTGGTGACATAGCAGGTGGGATGGAATCAGCTTTATACAAAATGTTCAAAGAAGCACATTTTAAATTCTATTTTTATAACAATCATTTTAATATGATCACAAAAGGATGACTGTGTTCATGGTAGCAAATCTATAAGACACAGAAATGCACATGGAAAAAATAAAGATCACCTATAATCTTTTCTCCCAAAGGTAACCGTTTTGATATAATCCAGGCTTTTTCTAATGAATGAATATACTATCTTCTTTTTCTTCCTTAACACAGTACAAGCAACTGATTTTTTGACGGGAATTAAATGGCAGATGCTCCATCCTGCCACAGAGCTGCTCATCATATGAATGGGTATATGCATTTCTCTGTTTTAGGCATAACTTCAGCTGCCTGAGCATAAAATGGCCAAAGTGATCTATCCTGAGGATGGTATTTGATTTGAACTGTGATTTATTTTCTATTTCTTATTCCCATTCTTCCCTTCCTATGTCCAGGAGTTGGGAACACCAAGGCAAAGTTTCAATAATAAGAAGATCATTGGGAAGAAACATTCAAGTGTGTTGATTGTCCCCACTTGTTAACTTAAGAAAAAACATAATTTATAAATTTAGAAGAGAAGAGGCTTTAATTCTTATAAAAGGTTACAGCCTGCAAGGTGGTTGTCCCACAGGCTGGGAAGCCTGCCTCTAGCCAAGACCAGAGACAGGCGTTTGGAAGGAGGAGGGGTTGGGGTAGGAGTTTTATGCTGAAAAGGTTGGCTAAACATACATGTTCAACAAGTTACAGGAGGAGCTGAGTATTCAAGAAAGTGGTCCTGACACAGGCATGTTAGATAAACATACATGTAACTTATGACCGATGTTCATTTTGAAATGAATAGATGAAATGTATTATACCTAGCCCCTATGTCAAAAGATCTTTTCAGGACATGAAGGTACACAGGTGTGCAGTCTCTGTAAACCAGCAAGAACCAGTCCATGGCTGGTGGTCTTCTCATCAGGAGAAAGTTACTGAATTCAGCCTCTTGTCCAGTCAAAGCTGTTTCTGGTCGGTGGAACAGGGGTTCAGTGAATCAGCATCTGTGAGCTGGATGAGTTGTAATTGTTTTAATACTGTTTATCTGGAGGCCAGTGCTTGTTTAGCTGCTGGAGAAAAAGAGAAACCTTGTGGCAGTTAGAACATAGTTGATTCTTTAAGTGCAGGAGTGTGTGACTTAACCCTTTGCCTGGTATGGTCTTAGGTCCTGTTTATAATTTGGTATCTTATTGCCATGAAAAGTCTCCTCTGTCAGTCTTATGATCCCTATTTTAACATTAATGCTGGTCAGTTGTGTCTAAACTCTAAAAGGAGGAGGTATAACCAGGCATGTCTGACTTTCCATCCCGTCATGGCTGGGAATACAGTTTTAAGGTATTTCTGGGGTTCCCTTTGCCAAGAGAGAGTCCATTCAGCCCGTAGGAGCTTAGGATTTTAAAGTTTACACATCCTTGGAACATTCATGAGATCCAACTGCAGTTCTCCCTGTGTTTACTAGGTGGCGGTATAACCCTTTCACGGAGGTCCTCTGACTCTCAACATAAACCTTACACTCCATAAATTCCGAGGTAGCAACAATATAGCCAAGGGCAGAAACAACTGTCTATTGTTTCAATATTCATACCCACTCTTACTGTATACACAGTTTATAAAGCACTTTCCCATGTTATGTCATGTATTTGCCCAGCCCCACCACTAAATCTGGGATGTTGGCATTGTTCATCCCCTTTTTGGGATAAACTATCTTACAGAAGTGATGTGGCTTGGCTCAGACCCGTAACAGAAACTGGCCTTGAACTCCTTTTTATCCCGAGACCAGGGCTCCTTGAGCTATACTGCATTTGTTCCAAACCGTTAGCTGCCACCAAAGAATTCTGAAAGTCAGAGCCACAGGGGTGGGAGGATGGGCTTGATTTCTGCCTCAGATTCCCTGCTCTTCCATCTGCTGCCCCCACCCCCACCCCCACCCCACCCCACCCTACCCCACCCCACCCCTGTGGTTCTGGCCTGGGTGGAAGTAGGAGTGGACTGAAAGAGAAGTTGAACTGCAGTGCAGGTCAGTTGTGATGGCAGCCTCGGCCAACCCCACAGGGATCTCTGGACCTAAGTGGGCTTGTGTGAGTTACCCCAGTGTGGGCTAACTTGGCTGGGTCTGTATCCCCTGCCTCCATCACCCAGAAGGGCATACCTGTGGACGTGGCAGCTCTGAAACTGTGGCAGGCTCTAAAGTCGACCAGCTGAAGCCTTTCTGCTCACAGCACTCCTAGCAGGTGGGGCAACAAGTTCTTCCTTGAAGCAGGAACTGCAGAGCACAAACCACACTCATCATAGTTCCTTTACCTGGAATGTCTTTTTGCATTGTTTTCAAATTTCCCTAGCTTCCAAAATCCAACAGGACACAACGAAAATCATTTGTGCAAGTTCTCAGAGATCTAGCCTTTGCATTCATCTCTAGCCTCACCTATGGTGGCGGTTGTTCTGACCCTCCAACTTTTCATTTGAGCAATACCATTTCCTGGAAACGCCATATTCCATTCACCTATGCTGTTGCCCTTGGTGATACTTTTGTGGGAAATGCCTTTATTTAATTTATTTACAAATATTTAATAGGCATCTATTATGTACCATATCCATTATCTGTGCCAAAACCCAGCTCAGCTCTCATTGCCTCTCAGGAAAACATCTCCCATTGCCCCCTTTCAAGAAAGAATTAATCAGTAGCTCCTATAGGCTGCCTTGTATACCCTTATCTTTTTGCCCTTTTCCCTCCATTTTACACCATTTGCCAATTAGTCTCCTTATTAGGCCATGAGCCTCTTCATCTTGGAATCCCCTCCCCAGGACAGGGCCTGACACTTCTCCCTTTAGTTCTGATATTTAAACTCCCTGCCAGTTTTCAGACTGTTAGAAATGCCCCACAGCCACCCCAACAGTTGGTTGCCTTCTATATCTCTTGCTCTAGAACAACTTTTTGCTTAGTAATTCTGCATTTATTTTTGTTCTGCATTTGTTTCAGACACCAGGGCATCTGCCTCCATCAGTCAATTGTAAAAAGGTTCATGTGTTTTTAAATTCCTCCTTGGATCTGTTATTTCATTAATTATAACCTTGCACTGCTTTGGGGATATTAATTTATCTGATGAAAGAATTGAGACCCAGAAAGTTCAAGTGGCATCAAATCTTACACCATGATTCAATTGGTAGCCTAAAATTAGAATTAAAATGTGTTTTGAACTGATTTGGCATCTGCTTGGTTCGCTCTGCAAAGTTTAAGGGTTTTAATCATTACGTGAATTGACTGCTTTGCACTTTTAAACATGTAGTGGATTTCACTGATCCTAGAAAAGTGGAGGGTTTGCGATTGGTAGGCTCAGAACTTGGTTCCCAGCCATGTATCAAAATGTATAAATGCATACAGGGATTTTCCCCAAGCTCTCCTGAGTGGAGATCATGCTGACTGTGTACTATTTATGGTTCTTCCTTTAATTTCTGACCTCTTGTGATCTCATGGTGGATTCTTCGTTTAACTTTTGAATAATCTCAAAGGTATATTTGTAATACAGCTGGAGAGTCAATGTTGGGATTACGGTGTTATGGGAAATACCAAGACTGGGGCATGTGAATTCAGCATCTGGTTCCCTCCGCAGCTTTCCTGGTGACTTCATAGAAGATACTCTATTTTTCTGGGCTTTGGTCTTTTCTGTCTGAGGAGACTGGAGAGGAGAGAAACATTACTTGCCCCTTTATCGTCTCTCTAAGTTCTGCAAACAAAAGCATTCCTTCTTTAGCTAATCTCTTAGGAAGCTAAAAGATGCAAGCCCAGCAGAGGACAGGAGAACCACCCAGCTGAACCCAACCCAAACTTATGACCCACAGAATACTGAGCTAAATAAATGGCTGTTGTTTTAAAACACTAAGTTTTGGGGTAATTATTAATTTCAAAAAGTTGTGACTGGGCTTGCTCATGTGTCTAGTCAGCTACCAGTCTGTTGGTCAGTTGGCTGGCCTAGGATCAATTCCTAATGATAAAAAAAAATAAAAATTGTATATATGTATTCATGTAATAATATAGCCTCAAAATACTTAAAACACCAATGAAATTAGATTAGAAAAAGCATTTAGAAGCAGAATAATTGGAAAGGAAGACATAATATAGTTTCTATTCATACACAATATGAATACATATCTAGAAAAGTAAAACATTCTAAGAGAACAGCAATGTTACAGAAAGAGTCTTCTCCATCAGCCTAGAGCCTGCGGTGATCATTCAACAGCTGACCATGATGGACACAAAATATGATTGAGAAAGAAACCTTTGTTTTTGTAATCCACCAAAATTAGGGGGTTGTTACTGAAGCATTTCCAGGCCTGTCCCCAGAGATACAGGTATAGAGAAATGGGAACTCTCAAACATGGCTTTTGGAAGCAAATATTATAAAATGTTTTGGCGTTTTCTAGTAAAATTAAAAATTTAAATACTATGAACCAGCAATTTTACTTGTAAGCATATTCCCTGAAAACTCATTTGCTTGATGACCAAGATAAAACCACATTCATGAATAATGTTCACAGCAGCATTTTTAAAAAAAAAACCCAAGTTGTAAACAACCCACGTGTTCATTAAGAGTGAAATATGTAGGCTGGGTGTGGTGGCTCATGCCTGTAATCCCAGCACTTTGGGAGGCCAAGGTGGGCAGATCACTTGTGGTCAGGAGTTTGGACCAGCCTTGACAATATGGTGAAACCCCATCTCTACTAAAAATACAAAACTTAGCCGGGCATGTTGGCGGGTGCCTGTAATCCCTGCTACTTGGGAGGCTGAGGCAAGAGAATCACTTGAACCTGGGAGGTGGAGGTTGCAGTGTGCTGAGATTGTGCACTGCATTCTAGCCTGGGTGACAGAGTGAGACCTTGTCTCAAAAAATGGAAAAAAAAAAAAAGAGTGAAATGTGTGAATATGCTGTAGTACATTAAAATAAGGTGTACAACAATGAAAATGAATGAATGAAATTGAATTAAGATTAAGCCACATTGACTAAATCTTAAAAGCATATATTTGAGAAAGACACAGAAGTATGCATACAGTAGGATTTCATTTATCTAAGCTCCAAAATAAGGCAAAATTAAAATTATATTGTTATCCTTTATGTGGTAAAACTAGAAAAAAAAATCCAAATATGTGGTCACAGTTGAAGTGAGGACAGAAACATGGTAGACGCCGTGATGTGTTGCCTACATCCCGCTTCAGGAATGAAGAATTTGTTCTTCAGCTGCTGTGAGTGCTGCTGGAAGGTGACTCTCAGAGGTCAGCCCTCATTGAGGATTTCCTCAGAGGAAGAGAAATTTACCTTCCATGGGCAGATGCATCCAGTGACTGGTCAACACTGAGTTATAAAATCCCAGCCCAACAACTTGGGATAACTCTGCAGGCCATCCCACAGCTGCTTATGGGGTTGACTGAGGCCTTCCACTGGACTGTACCACAGCCCAACTTCTCTCGCTGCCTAATTTTGCTCTTTTCTTCATTCCACAGGTGTTGATTTTAAAGACACTCCCATATAAATGTCCTACATGCTCGTCTCTGTTTCAGAGACTGTTTTCTGGGGACTCCAGTCTGTAATCCTCTTGTGGAGGGAGGTGGCTAGGACCAGGAAGGAAAACACGAATGATAAGAATGTTCTATTCTTCTGTCGAAGTTGTATTTTCACAGGAGTTCACTTTGTATGTATTAATCAACGTGTATATTTATATTTTATGCTGTTGATTTATGTTTCATGCATCATAGTAATCCAGAAATTCCTCAGAAACACAAATCCAGGACAAGTGAGCTGATGTCACCCTCGTATTACCCCTGATTCAGGAAAATAAAACATATTCTTTTAAGATATGTGTCAGCCTGAGTGAATCTCCTTTTTTTGGAAGGGGCAGGGGGCTCTTCATTATGCATCTATGAGTGGACACATTTTAAAAGCATATTTTTTCATTATTCAGAATGTAGCAATTTTGTCAGAATTCCTTCTGTCAGGAAAAGAAAATTCCAGACTGGTTCCTGGTCTTGCCTTCTTAATCATTTTCCTCAGGGAAAACTGAAAAGTGCTCTCAGAATGTTGGTCTCATTTTAATCCCGTGGTCCTTTGGACATAATTTTGTTTTGATTCAAAACTGTACAGGGGCTTAAAGAGAAACTTATAAGTGTAGATGTAAGAAGTGATATATAGCTATTCTGTCAATATATATTTACTAAGCACCTACTATGTGCTAAGAACTCTTCTAGTAGCTCAGGAAATGGCAGTGAAGAGTAACAGTAATAAAAAAAAACAAACCCTGCCCTCATGGAGTTTACATATTAAGAGCACAGCTGGGGATCTTAGAGATAGTACCACAGTAAATAAGTAAATTATCCAGTGTGTTATAAGGTGAAAGCACTATGAAATAAAAATGAAAGTTTAGCAAGGTAAGGGTACCTGGAGTGCCAGCGGGGAGGTTTGGGCAAGTATTAAGAAGATGGCCAGGGCTTGCCAATGAGGGGCTGACACTTGAGCAAAGATTTGAAGGAGGCAAAGGAAAAGCTTGTCCTTGAAAGGCTATGTAGATATCAGGGACAAGGTCATTCCAAGCAGAGGCAACAGCTAACACAAAGAAAGGCTGTGGCCAGGCATGGTGGCTCACGCCTGTAAACCCAGCACTTTAGGAGGTCGAGGTGGGCAGATCACGAGGTCAGGAGTTCGAGACCAGCCTGGCCAACATGGTGAAACCCTGTCTCTACTAAAAGTACAAAAGTTAGCTGGCCATAGTGGTGGGCACCTGTAATCCCAGCTACCCAGGAGGCTGAGACAGGAGAATTGCTTGAACCTGGGAGGCAGATGTTGCAGTGAGCCAAGAATGTATCATTGCACTCCAGCCTGGGCAACAAGAGTGAGAGTCCATCTCAAAAAAAAAAAAAAAAAAAAAAAAGAAAAAGAAAAAAGCTGCAAGGTGGAAATGTACCTGGTTTGTTTGAGGAACAGCAATGATGATGCCAGTATGCATGAAGCGGTATGAAAAAGTGAGTCAAAGAAATGAAGTTAAAGAGGAATTGAGGAGGAGAATCATATTGCATATGGCCTTATAAAGGATTATGTTTAAGTTATCTATTGCTATGTAACAAATTATTCCAAACTTTATGGCTTAACTCAATGAAAACACTTTGTTCACTAATCTGTGATTTGGGCACAGCTCAGTGGGAAAGTATATCTCTACTTTCCTCAGCATCCGTGAGTATAGCTTGAAGGCTGGGGCTGGTATCATCCCTAAGGCTTCCTCACATGTCTGGTGGTTGATGTTGGTTGGGACTTCAGCTGGGGCTGTGGCCAGACCACCTATATGTAAACTTTCCATGTGGTCTGGGTTTCCTCACAATATGGTAGTTGAATTCCATGAGCCTCTAGAGAGAGACAGAGCCAGCTTTTGAAGTCATGCCCCGTCACTTCCATCCCATTCTAGTCATTAGAAATGAGTCACTGGTCGCTGAGGCTGGTCCCTAAGCAAGGTGAGGGAGATTCAGCTCTACCTTGAAGTGTGAGGAGTATCCCAAAGTTTGCAGATATGTTTTAAAACTACATTTTAAAAAGTTCTCCAGATTTTATTTTGAGTAAAGTCCATTGCAGGGTTTTGATAGAGGAGTGAGATCATTTGATTCATGTTTTAAAAGTATTACTCTGCTGTAGTGTTGTCAATAGAATATAGGCCTGCAAAGGTGGCAGTGGGGAGATGAATTAAGATGCAAGGGATAATGATGGCTTGGATATCATGGGTAAGAAATGGTGATATTTTAGATATATTTTGAACTTAGAGCCAATATTGACAGATTGAATGTGGGATATGAAAGAAAAACAAGAGTCAACGATGCCAGAAAGGCTTTTAGCACAATCAGCTTAAAGGATGAAGATGCTGTCAACTGAAATGTGGGACAGTCGTGAGTGGAGCAGGTTTGACGAGTTGTTAAAGACCAAGAGATCAGCTTTGGAAATGTTGAGCTTGAGACAGCAATTGGACATGCGGCTGGGGATGTTGAGTAAGCAGCTGGATATGTGAGTCTGGAACTTAGAAAAAGGCTGGGGCTGGAAATATGTATTTTAAAGTCATTAGACTATAGATACTATTTAAAGTTCTGAGATTGGATAAGATTCCCAAGTGAACGAATGCAGAGAGAAAAGAGAAGAGGACAGAGGACTGATTCCTGGAGCACTCTAGCATTTAGAGGAGAAGCCAGGGAAAAGAGGAGAAACCAGGGAAAGAGACCAAGACAAAGGGACCAGAGCACTAGGAGGAAAATCAAGATATTGTGATGTCCTTCCTGGAAGCGCCGAGAGAAGAAAGTGCACTGAGGAGGAAGAAGTCTTGGCAAGCCTGTTTTTATTATAGTTCTTTTATTATGAGTATTGTAATCAACTTTTTAGCTTTGGGGGGTGTTATTTTGGCTTCTTTTTCTATAAACTTTATATTTATATCTTTTAAGTCAAATTTTCTACTGAGTTGGTTATCTTTTTCTTACTGATTTTAGGATCTCTTTGCAAATAAAGAAAATTATCTGTCGTATGTGCTACTGATATTTTTTACAGTTTGTCATTAGTATTTAGACATGGTTTAACATATGTGTATATTATATAAAATATATACTGTAGTACTCTATATACATATAGTACTCTGTCTCTCTGTCTATATATATATATCTTTAAAGTAATAAAATTACATGAATTATATTTGCAACTATCACTTGCCTTAACAGCAAGAGCGCCCTCCGATCCACATTCTATTCCAGGAATCTTCAAAGTTGGCTGTGGGAGGAGGATCTTTCGGCTGATGGGATGGCTGACAAACAGAACAAACTCTGTTTCTCGGGCTTTGTCTTCCTTTCTTACTGACTCTTTTACTCACTGCCACCACCTTGTCTCCTTGGGTTTTAACCATCCCAACCCTACTCCACTATAAAGTTTAGAAAGCTGAAAGCTGAATTTCCCAGACTCCCTTGTAGCTACGGGGGCCTTGTGACTGAGTTATGGCTAATGAAAAGCAGGTGGGAGACTGCTGGTGCTGTATTTCCATTTTCTTGCCTGTTTTTTAACCTACAATATAGACACGAGCCTGGAGATCCAGGAAGCTTCACTAAGGATGGCAGAAAGATGGAAAGAGTCTAGAGTCTTGAGGGCATAGACTTTCAATCTACCTGCCTTGGTCTGCCTGTCCCAGACTTCTTGTCATGTAAGACAAATTACTTGTTTGGGCCATTGTTTATCAAGTTTTCTGGAAACAGCAACCCAACAGTACCCTAACTGATACGTAGGCATTCAAAGCTCCTCCTTTAAATCCCTTGCTCAATTGTAGAAAGGCCCTTCCTCCCCTGTGCTTTAGTCAAGATTCTTTTGGAAGTGACAGAAGTGAAACTCAAAACAGTTAGGGCAATAAAAATTTGTTGGCTCGTGCATCCTTCTTAGGAAATGTATACAGTTGTGCTTCTGGAACGAGAAACTCAAATACTGACTAAACTCTATATTTCTATGTTTAATTCTCTTTCTCTCTGTGGGTCAGTTTCAGTTTTTCAGCCCAGATGTTTCTAGGAGTCTTGAACCACCATCGTGACAGTTCCTTGGCCACTTCTACCCAGCTAAGCCACCAGAAAATAAGGATCAGAGGGCTGGGGACTTTCTCACTCTCAGGTCCCCTCCACCTGGTGGATGACATCCAAAATCTGCCACTAAGAAATCTCTTCTTTGACACTTTGAACAATCAAAATTAGAGTCTCCCCTGGATGCTACCTTGGTAATCCCCTCTCAGTCCTGATTTTCTGTCAGAAAGACTTCCACTCTTCAGTTACACCTATAAGAGTGTAGCTTTTATCTTCAAATATTATGAGCACATGTTAGAAATATATAAGTATTCCTACAAATGTAACTATATATTTAGGTATGAGGAAAAGAGAAGAGGAGGTTATTTTCTCATGGGTGTCACCCCCACCGCCCCTGTTCCAAATTATGTGAGAATGTACCTTTAAAAGGAAAACCACAAAACTCAAACCAATTGTCATAAATTAATTAAAGTTCAAGAGAACTCGCAAGAGTTATGTAAGTCATAATGTGATTGGATTCAGGTTAGGGAAAGAATGGTTGAATTTCAAGAACTTCTCGGATTTCTCCATCTTTCCTACATACAGAATGATGGCAAAGAAGGAAAACAGAAAGGAATGTTACACTACAAATCACCATAACTTATGAAATAAATACATTTATGCAAAAGGAGATGGTAGAGGCCTTCCAGTTAAGTATTGCAGAATCAAGATAAGCCAACTTCATTCTCCCTTCTGAAACAACAAAAAGAGCAGAGACCACATGAGAAGAAAATCTCAACCCACAATCAATGAAGAATAGCTGCCAAATGCAGTGAAATTTAGACCATTCTCTTTTAAATTGCAATTGTTTATCCTCTACCACTCCTGATTCCTCCTTTCTGCACTTCTCCCCAATATATTTATCAATTTTTATAATTTATGGTATTATTTTTTATAGTCTCTCCCCCTCTCCTTGCTCCCAACAAGGCAAATTCAGCAAGGGCAGAGATATTTTTTCTTTTGTTTATTGATGCATTTTGAAGGCTTAGAACAGTACCTGCAATGTGGTGTTCACTCAACACATATTTTTTGAATAAATGAAGTTACTTCTTCAGACTCCACCACTGCATAGAATTCTCCATGTGTAGGTGGTTAATGAGGGTACAAACAACCTCTGATCTTGGAACAGATGGCTTACTGGAATATCCCTGAGCCTCACTTAATATTAAAAAGCAGTAAGAAAGTTCAGATGTAAAGAGTAGCAGAGATGCCATCTCATGAGAGTCAAGCTGTGGTAGGGTAGAGGAGAAATGTTGTGGGGCAAGGTCATTTGAAGAGGATTAAGCACAAAGTCACTACATGAAGAATCTGGGATATTGGCCTCATGGAGTCCCATGTCTAACTCCAAAAGACAGAGCTTCAGAGTAGAAAGTTGGTGGGAGAATATTTTGAGGCAATAGATCTAGACCCTATTTGCCAGCTGGGCCAGGTCACCTAGACTGATGTCTGTTACCATACACTATTCTTCAGCAAGCAGCTGACCAAGAAAAACTAGCTCCCATTAAAATATAAACAATAATTTAAAAATCCAGCCAGAAACTATGATAAAAATATTAAAAGATAAAAATGAAGAAACTCACTATAACAAGAACACCAAAGTAATTATGTTACAAAGCATAAGAAAATATTGAACACTTTCCTTGAATTAAAATAAGATACATTAAAAGAAATATGTCTCTTTGCACCAAGAGCTCAAAGAATACAGACAAGTGTACGAATAAAATAATAACAAAAAAATTCTAGAAAGGGATTTTTAAAATGAGCTGGAAGAGCCAGGAGAAAAAAAATTAGAGGAGAGACTGAAGCCATTATATAAAAGATAGCCACGCTAGAAATATCAATAAAAGGAGAAAAGGTAGTACCAAAAATACAGTTAGGAATATTGAGGATAGGTTTCAGAAAAATGAGCAAAATAAAATGGAAAAGCAAAAGAGCATTTGAAAGGATTACAGAGAAAATAATAGAAAAATAAAAAGGATTTTATTTATACCTTATTAGTATCCTTGAATAAGAGTAAAGAACAGAGAAAGTCAAATTGTCCTTCTTTGCAGATGAAATAATCTTATATACAGAAAAATTAAAGATGCCACAAAAAGCCCTTAGGACTGATTAATGAATTCAGTAAAGTTGCAGGATACAAAATCACTAGCATTTCTATACACCAATAATGAACTAGCTGAAAAAGAAGTCAAGAAAGCAATTCCATTTACATACCTACAAAAAACCCGAAGTACCCAAGAATAAATTTAATCAATTTATTGATTAAAATAAATCAATTTTACAGCCGGTAATCCCAGCACTTTGGGAGGCCAAGTGGGGTGCATCATTAAGGTCAGGAGTTCGAGACCAGCCTGGCCAACATTGTGAAACCCCATCTCTACTAAAACTACAAAATTAGCCAAGCATGGTGGCGGCACTACTTGGGAGGCTAAGGCAGGAGAATTGCTTGACCCTGAGAGGCGGAGGTTGCAGTGAGCCGAGATTGTGTCACTGAACTCCAGCCTGAGCAGCAGAGCGAGACTCGTTTATCCCCCACCCCCCAAAAAGGTGAAAGACCTCTACAATGAAAACTACAAAACACTAATAAATGATGCTGGTTTCTTCTGGTTTTCAGTTTCTTTTTGGTTTTGTTTTGGGGATTCCCCTCACTTTCTTTAAACTCAGGTATAGAATTAAAAGACTGTTAGTGAATTTCACCCAATATTTCTAGATACTTTTTAGTGAGAGGTTTTTCCCTTCAGTATATCTAGCACGTAATATTGATAGAAATGGAAATCTGCCACATAGTATTTCTTTTCTCTGTTTAAAATTTAACTTTAATTTTTAATAAGGCTTTCCATGTACATAGATTAAAGAGTCAATTGATTCTACTAAGGTTACTATAGAAGATAAAATTTTCTTGCCTCTTGCCTCCCCAGTTCATGCGCTCTAAAGACAACCACACTTAACTCTTTCGTTTTTGTATAATATTCTCATGCATCTCTTTCTTGCTTTTCTAGTTTTAGATATTCTCTATAGAATTTCTTTAAAGGCTGTCTTAACCACCTTTGCATTTCCCTTATCATCCTCCAAATAATTATATCTATTTAAACGAGATCAATGTTTACTGTCTATATTACTATGACTATGCAAATATTGTTCCTAACAGAGCCATGTTTTATACTTTGTGTGCAATTTATTGTTTTCTTAGGAGTATCGGTCACTTCTATTTCTTGTTTTGTTTGACTGTCATTTATACATGCATCAACATTTCATTGCCAAATTTTGTAGGAAGTGTAACTCTCCTTTCACTTTATTAAATACATGAGTTATTCTATCAGGTTTGTCTCTCTTCCATCTCTCCTGAAGCCTTTCTGCTCTACTCGGGACTGCTCTTGCTGTATAGCTCTCTCCCTTCACCATCATACTGGGAATACTTTGGCTCTGTCTTATGTTGATGATCTGTTTTCTGGATTCCATGGCTTTCTATTTGTTAGTTTCTTCGTGTGTTTTAATGGAATACATGCTTCAGCAGATTTTTTTGGGACTATATTAACATCTAATGGCTTTATTTATGTGTTACCTATTATAATAGCATTTCTATTTCCAGGAAGTGGTCTTATTTTCTTAATAATGGCTTTACTGAGACATAACTAACATGCCATATAATTCAGCTATTTAAAGTCTACAACTCAATAGTTTTCAGTACATTCACAGAGTTGTGCAACCATCACCACAATCAATTTTTCAACATTTAAATCACAATCACCCAACCAAAAAAATCTGTACCCATTAGCAGCCACTCACCATTTCATTCCAACTTCCCCACCCTTCTACCTTGGGTAACCATAAATCTACTCTCTGACTTGATAGTATGTGTGGTGCTTTGTGAATGGTTTCTTTCACTTAGAATAATGTTTTCAAGATTCATCTGATTAAAATACGTATCAGTATTTTATTACTTTTTACTGCTGAAGAATATTCCATTGAAAGAGCATTATATTTTGTCAGTTTCCCAGTTGATGGACATATGGATTATTTCCACTTCTTGGATATTATGAATAATGTTGTTATGAACATTCATGAAAAGGTTTTTGTGTGGGACATATGTTTATTTTTATTGGGTAGGTATCTAGTGCTATGGTCTGAATGTTTGTGTCCCTCTCAAATTCATATGTTGAAACCTAATCACCAATGTGATGGTATTAGGAGGTGTGGACTTTGGGAGGTAATTGTCATGAGGGTAGAGCCCTCATGAATGGGATTAGAGCCCTAATACAAGAGGCACCAGACAGCTGCCTTGCCTCCTCCACCATTTGAGAATGTAGTAAGAAGGCTCCGCCTATGAATCAGAAAATGGTTCCTCACCAGACATCAAATCTGCTGACACATTGATCTTGGACTTCCCAGCCTTCAAAACTGTGGATAATAAATTTCTGTTGTTTATAAGCCACCAAGTTTATGGTATTTTTTAAATAGCAGATCAAACAAATTGAGACACTTAGGAATGAAATTGCTGGGTCATACAGAAACTCTGTCATGTACTAAGTTGTGTCCTCTTCAAATTTATATGTTGGAGTCCTACTCCCTTGCACCTTAGAATGTGACTGTATTTGGAGACAGGATCTTTAAAGAGGTAATTAAAATAAATGAAGCCCTTAGGATAGGTTCTAATCCAATATGACTGGTGCCCTTATAAGAAAGAAGATTAGAACACAGATAGATACAGAGAGAAGGCTATGTGTAGACATAGGGAGAAGACAGCCATCTGCAAGCCCAAGAGAGAGGTCTCAGAAGAAACCAACCCTGCTGGCACCTTGATCTCAGACTTCTAGCCTCCAGAACTTGAGAGTTGTTTATGCCACTCAGTGTGTGGTGCTTTGTTATGGAAGACCTAGAAACTAATACTCTCCATCTAGGTTTAGCCTTTCGAGGAACTGCCAGACTATTTTCCAAAGCAGCTCTGTCCCAGGCAATCCCACTAGTAGTTTACAAGGGTTCAATAGCTTGTCATTATCTGACTTTTTGGCATCCTAGTGGGTGTAAAGTAGTATCTCATTGTGGTTTTAATGTGCATTTAGTTGATGGCTAATGACATCGATCATTTTTTCATGTACTTACTGACCATTTGCCTATCTTCTTTGGAGAAATGTTTATTCAAATCCTTTGCCCATTTTTAATTGGGCTTTCTTTCCATGATTGAGTTATACGAGTAAGAGGTGTTATATATTTTAGATACAAGTCCCTTATCATAAATACGATTTGCAAATATTTTCTCCTATTCTGTGGGTGTCTTTTCACTCTTCTGATGGTGTCTTTTGTGGCACAAAAGTTTTAAATTTTTATAAAGTCCAATTTTTCTAGTTTTTTCTTTTGCTTCTTGTACTTTTGGTGTTATGCCTAAGAAATCAGCCTATTCTAAGTTAATAAAAATCTAGACCTATATTAACTTCTAAGAATTTTATAATTTTTGCTCTTATGTCTATGACTTTGATCAATTTGAGTGTATTTTTGCATGTATTTAATAGTATGAGGTAGGGGTCCAATTTTACTATTTTGCATGTGGACATCCAGTTGTTTTACCACTATTTTCTGAAAAGACTATCCTTTCACCACTGAATTGTCCTGGCATTTTTGTTAAAAATAAATTTACCATAAATGAGAGGGTTTATTTATGGACTCTCAATTCTATTCCATTGATATATGTCTGTCTTGGTGCCAGTACCATACAGTCTCAATTACTGCCAGGTTAGAAATGAGGAAATGCAAGCCCTCCAACTTTGTTCTTTTTCAAAATTGTTTTTGCTATTCTAGGTCTCTTGAATTATCATATATATTTTAGGATCAGCTCATCAATTACTGCAGAGGGGCCAGCTAGAATTTTGATGAGGATTGTGCTGAAACTATAGGTTAATTTGGGGAGTATTTCCATTTTAATAAAATTAGATCATCCAATTGATGAACATGGGACCTCTTCGTATTATGTATTGATAATATTCAGACATACAATTGATCTTTTTTGTTTTCTTGAGACAGTGTCTGGCTTTGTCACCCAGCCTGGAGTACAATGGTGCAATCTCGGCTCGTTGCAATCTCTGTCTCCTGGGCTCAAACCGTCTTCCCCCTTCAGCCTCCCAAGTAGCTGATACTACAGGTGCATACCACCATGCCTAGCTATTTGTGTATGTGTATTTTTGGGAGATATGGGGTCTCACCATATTGCCCAGGCTGGTCTCGAACCCCTGAGCTCAAGCGGTCCTCCCACCTCAGCCTTCCAAAGTGCTGGGATTACAGGCATGAGTCACCACACCTGGCCTGATTTTTTATGTTGATCAGTTGAAATAATGAATCTATCTTTTATCCTGTAATGTTGCTGAACTAATTTATTATCTGATGATTTTTTTTAGTGGATTCCTTAGGATTTTCTATACATAATATCATCTGCAAATATATATGGTTTTCCTTTTTCTTTTCCAACTGAATGCTTAAAAAAAAAAAAAAATTTCCTGATTGACCTGACTTGAACCTCCTGTACAAAGTTGAATAGAAGTTGAAGAGGGAGCAGACATTCATGTCTCATTCCTGATCTTAGGAAAAAAGTTCTCAGTCTTTTACCATTAAGTATGTTAGTTATGAGACTTTTGAAGATGCCCTTTATCAAGTTAGGGAAATCCCATCTTCTACTTATTATTTGTTGCATATTTTCTTCATGAAGTACTGTCAAATTTTGTCAAATGGTTTTTCTGTATTTATTGAGATGCTCATGTAGCTTTTGTCGTTTATTCTATTGACATGCTGTATTACATTGATTCTTGGACGTTAAACCAACCTTAAATTGCTGGTATAGATCTTGCTGAGTAATGGTTTATAATCCTTTTCTTATGTTGCTGAATTGGTTTGATAGTCCTTTGCTGAGAATTTTTGCTATTGCACTAACAGAGGTTATCAATGTAAACTTTTATTTTATTGTAATATGTTTGTCTGGTTTTGGTATTAGGGTAATACTAGGCTCATAGAATGAGTCAGAAAGTGTTCCCTCCTTTGGAAGAATTTGTGGAAAATTGATGTTAATTTATCTTTAGACATTTGGTATAATTCAAATGAAGCCATATGGGCCTGTTTTTATTTGTGGGAAGTTTTAAATGTCTAATTCAATCTATTGTTAAATCTTTTCAGGATTTTTACTTCCTCTTGAGTCAGTTTGCAGTTTGTGTCTTCTAGGAATTTGCCCATTTCATTTAAGTTATCTAATTTGTTAACATACAGTTACTGCTCATCATATACCTTATGACCCTTTTTATTTCTGCAAGTTCAGTATTATGCTCTGTCTTCTATTTCTTATTTTAGGAATCTGTCGTGCCTCTTTTTTTCTTGGTCAGTCTAGCTTAAAGTTTGTTAATCTCTTTAAAGAACAATGTTCAGCTTCATTAGTTTTCTATATTGTTTCTGTATTCTACTTCATTAATTTTCATTATAGTCTTTACTATTTCCTTAATTTTACCAGTTTGAGTTTAGTTTATTCTTTTTTCCAGTGATTTGTATTGGAAGCTTAGGTTATAAATTTGAAATATTTCTTCTTCCTAAAGATAGGTTTTTACTACTATAAATTTCCTTCTAAGCATGGTGTTAGCTTCATTCCATACTTTTGAAATGTTGTGCTTTTATTTTAATACATCTCTAAGTATTTTAAATTTTTTATTTCCCCCATTGAATATTTAGAAGTCTGATGTTTAATTTCTATATATTTGTGAATGAAATTTTTTTCTGTATGTTTTTGATTTTTAATTTGATTCCTTTTTGGATAGAGAATGCACTTTGTATGATTTTAACCCTCTTTAATTTATTGAGGTTTGCTTTATGGCCTAACACATGGTCTGTTCTGGAGAATGTTCCTTATGAACTTAAGAAGAATGTGTACTTTGCTGTTATTTTGTGGATTATTGTACAGATGCATGTCAGGTATAGTTGGTTTACACTGTCATTCAAGTCTCCTATTTTCTCATTCACCTTCTGTGTGGTTATTCTATTCATTACAGAAAGTAGAGTATTGAAATCTCCAACTATTATTGTTGAATTATCTATTTATTGAATCTGTCAGTTTTTGCTTCATGAATTTGGGGGCTCTGTTATTAGGTACATACATGTTTATAATTATTATACCTCTATAAATAATGACTCATCATTATAAAATGTATCCTTTAGTAACAGTTTTTGTTTTAAAGTTGATTTTGTCTTATGTTAGTATTGCCACTTCAACTTTCTAATGGTTGTATCCTCTTTTATTGTTTTACTTTCCATGTATTTGTATGTTGGAATCTAAAATTAGTCTCCTATAGACAGGATAAAATTAATGATTTTTAAAAGTCCATGTTACCAATCTCTGCCTCTTAATTGGAAGATTAATACATTTGTTTAATGTAATTATTATATAGTTGTTCTTTTTAAATATAATTTTCACTCATGGTTATTTTGCTAGACAGTGGGTCTGCAGAGCTCTTCAGGCAGCTTTAACATTCCCTTTTATTCTTATAATTTTATCCTTTCGAAATTTATTTACTGGGTCATTTGTAAATGCACACGGAAAAATTACCTTTTTCCACTACCTCACATCATAAACAAAAATCAAGTTCAGAGTTACAATTATAAAAAGAAAACAATGCGATTTTAGAAGAAAATGGAAAATATCCTCACGACCTTGGGGTAGGCAAAAAATTCTTAAACAAGATATAAAATGCATTAGCCATAAAGAAAAAAACTAATAAATTAGCTACATTAAAATTATGAATTTTGCTCTCTACCTTCTCTGCACTGAAAGCAACTGTGTTCCCAAAGCCCCTCACCCCTAAAAATGTACAGCTGCTCCAAGTGTGCCTCCACCCACTCTTGGTCAAGAGTACCTCCCAGTTGCTGAGCTGCCTACTATCTGCAGTGGTGATGAAATGACCAGAGACACTGACAGATGAGAGCCTCAGCAGCTTGGCAGTCTCACATCCCCTTATCTCACTTGTCCCTACCTGCAACTTCCAAACCAGTGCAATTTCAAGAGACATTGACACAGCAGCCAAGTTTATTGGAGTTGGGGCTGCTACAGTTGGGGTGGCTGGCTCTGGGGCAGGGATTGGTTGGGACTGTGTTTGGGAGCATCATCATTGGTTATGCCAGGAAACCTTCTCTGAAGCAACAGCTCCTCTATCCCATTCTGGGCTTTGCCCTGTGGGAGGTCATGGGGCTCTTTTGCCTGATGATAGCCTCTCTCATTCTTTTTGCCATGTGAATGAGCCATCTCCACCTCCCATAGTTCTTTCTCCTATGTCTCATTGGCCCTGTATGTTCTTTTTTCCTATACATTCCCAGGTAGCCTGGGGAACGTGGTTGGCTCAGGGTTTGACAGAGGGAAGACAAATAAAGAATGTATTAATAAGGTGAAAACAATTATGAATTTTAAGAAAGTAAAAGGTAAGCCACATTGTAAGAGATGACCGTTGAAATACATACATCTGATAAAGGACTCAAATCCTGAGTGTACAAATAACTTATAAAAAAACAAAAAGAGAAAGGCAAGCAATACAATATAAAAAAGCAGAGGAAAGATTTGAATAAACACTTGATTAAAATCAGAACATCCAAACGGCAAATAAGAACATGAAAAGGCACATAATTTTATTAATCATCAAAGAAATGCAAATAAAGTCATAAGCAATGTCATAGCCACTAGAATAGTTAAAATGAAAAAGGCAAAAGTACTAAGAGTTGGCAAAGATGTGTAATGATTGAAACATTCACACACTGTATGAAAGTGTAAATTGGTACAATCACCGAAGAAAACTTTTTGGCAGTACCTACTAAATAGAGAAATATATTATATTCTTCAATGAGAGGAACTAAGTGGCAAAGATGCCAACTATCACTACACTAATTTATAAATTCAAAAAATAGCAAATAAAATATCAAAGAGTTTTTTTTGTTTTGAGTTTGGCAAAGCAATTTTATCTTTTGTCTGGAAGAATAAGTAATTCATGAAGGGAAACAAAATATTGAAAGGAAGAACCACCAGTGGAGCACAGAAGTGCTAGGCATTAAAATATACCACAAATATGTATTAAATAAAATAATAGATTATTCAGTTATTGTAAAGCATTTTCAAGAAAAGACCAAAGATTATATAGGAGTTAAATTTGTGGTTTCAAGTAAATGGGGAAGATTAAATTCTTTAATAAATAATGCTGAGTTAACTGGTTAAATATTTGGAAAAATTTAAGCCAGAGTCTAAACACTCTGCATGCACCAAAGTATTCCAGATGAATTAATATTTAAATGTTCTTACAATATTAACAAAATAATAGATGCAGAAAAGGCCTTTGACAAAATTCAACAGCCCTTCATGCTAAAAATTCTCAAAAAATTCGGTACTGATGGGACGTATCTCAAAATAATAAGAGCTAATTATGACAAACCCACAGCCAATATCATACTGAATGGGCAAAAACTGGAAGCATTCCTTTTGAAAACTGGCACAAGACAGGGATGCCCTCTCTAATCACTCCTATTCAACATAGTGTTGGAAGTTCTGGCCAGGGCAATCAGGCAGGAGAAAGTAATAAAGGGTATTCAATTAGGAAAAGAGGAAGTCAAATTGTCCCTGTTTGCAGATGACATGATTGTATATCTAGAAAACCCCATTGTCTCAGCCCAAAATCTCCTTAAGCTGATAAGCAACTTCAGCAAAGTCTCAGGATACAAAATCAATGTGCAAAAATCACAAGCATTCTTATACACCAATAACAGACAAACAGCCGAATCATGAGTGAATTCCCATTCACTGTTACTTCAAAGAGAATAAAATACCTAGGAATCCAACTTTCAAGGGATGTGAAGGACCTCTTCAAGGAGAACTACAAACCACTGCTCAACAAAATAAAAGAGGATACAAACAAATGGAAGAACTTTCCATGCTCATAGATAGGAAGAATCAATATCGTGAAAATGGCCATACTGCCCAAGGTAATTTGTAGATTCAATGCCATCCCCACCAAGCTAACAATGACTTTCTTCACGGAATTGGAAAAACCTACTTTAAAGTTCATATGGAATCAAAAAAGAGGCCACATTGCCAAGACAATCCTAAGCAAAAAGAACAAAGCTGGAGGCATCAGGCTACCTGATTTCAAACTATACTACAAGGCTACAGTAACCAAAACGGCATGGTACTGGTACAAAAACAGAGATATAGACCAATGGAACAGAACAGAGCCCTCAGAAATAATACCACACATCTACAACCATCTGATCTTTGACCAACCTGACAAAAACAAGAAATGGGGAAAGGATTCCCTATTTAATAAATGGTGCTGGGAAAACTGGCTAGCCATATGTAGAAAGCTGAAACTGGATCCCTTCCTTACACCTTACACAAAAATTAATTCAAGATGGATTAAAGACTTAAATGTTAGACCTAAAACCATAAAAACCCTAGAAGAAAACTTAGGCAATACCATTCAGGACATAGGCATGGGCAAGGACTTCGTGACTAAAACACCAAAAGCAATGGCAACAAAAGCCAAAATTGACAAATGGGATCTAATTAAACTAAAGAGCTTCTGCACAGCAAAAGAAACTACCATCAGAGTTAACAGGCAACCTACAGAATGGGAGAAAATTTTTGCAGTCTACTCAACTGACAAAGGGCTAATATCCAGCATCTACAAAGAACTCAAACAAATTTACAAGAAAAATACAAACAACCTCATCAAAAAGTGGGCAAAGGATATGAACAGACACTTCTCAAAAGAAGACATTTATGCAGCCAACAGACACATGAAAAAATGCTCATCGTGACTGGCCATCAGAGAAATGCAAATCAAAACCGCCATGAGATACCATCTCACACCAGTTAGAATGGGGATCATTAAAAAGTCAGGAAACAACAGATGCTGGAGAGGATGTGGAGAAATAGGAACACTTTTACACTGTTGGTGGGACTGTAAACTAGTTCAACCATTGTGGAAGACAGTGTGGCGATTCCTCAAGGATCTAGAACTAGAAATACCATTTGACCCAGCCATCCCATTACTGGGTATATACCCAAAAGATTATAAATCATGCTGCTATAAAGGCACACACACACGTATGTTTATTGCAGCACTATTCACAATAGCAAAGACTTGGAACCAACCCAAATGTCCATCAATGATAGACTGGATTAAGAAAATGTGGCACATATACGCCATGGAATACTATGCAGCCATAAAAAAGGATGAGTTCTTGTCCTTTGTAGGGACATGGATGAAGCTGGAAACCATCATTCTCAGCAAACTACTGCAATAACAAAAAACCGAACACCACATGTTCTCACTCATAGATGGGAATTGAACAATGAGAACACTTGGACACAGGGTAGGGAACATCACACACTGAGGCCTGCCATGGGGTGCAGGGTGGGGGGAGGGAAAGCATTAGGAGATATACCTGATGTAAATGACGAGTTAATGGGTGCAGCACACCAACATGGCACATGTATACATATGTAACAAACCTGCATGTTGTGCACATGTACCGTAGAACTTAAAGTATAATAATAAAAAAAAAGTCCAAAACATTTAAAAAAAAAGATTTTGCCACATTTCTATTATATTTTCAGCTTTGGTATTGCTCAGTCAAAGAATATTAGTTTTTGGTTTATTTTATTCACACTGCCACAATACTTTAGAGAAATGCTATAGCAACTCCTAAAAATATATTTCCCCCTTTACTATGCAAAATACTATCATAAAGGTTATTAAATTAATAACTTGTTGAAATGATTATTTTTATTTCAGATAAGGTAATATGTTTTATATATTTATTTGAATATCCTCTTTTGTATAAAATCAGTTATTGACCTTTGTAAATGTTTAATGAGACCCTGAGAAATTTTACATTATTCTGTATTGTTCATAAATTTAGAATATTAATTTCTCATATGCATTACATTTTCATTCACCTTAAAAAAATTAACAAAATAAAAGTATAAAACAAAAGGAATATATTTAAATATAGATGAATATTTAAAAGCGTTACACCAAAGAGAAAATTAAACAGAAAAATACTGATACATTTAATAACAGAAAAAACATACATTTCAGATAACAGTACAAAGAAGATTTTAAGGCAAATTCAACCAAATATTAAGTTTTTAGGAAAAGATGGTTATCTCATTTTTTTTTTTGGGTTTCCCTAAGATTTTATAAATGTCTCATAATAAAGAAATTATTCAGAAAGAAACAACTGAAAATTAAATTTCAGTAAAAGTCCCCTAAGAAATTAATATTCAAATAACCAATATATTCATAAAAAATGGATGAAGGATGCAATAAACTTTTCAAAAAGGGAAAGTACACCACCAATAAAACATTAGAAAATCAACTTCATAATTATTCAAATAAATAAATAAGAATAAGAAATGACCATGGTATGCTGGCTGAAGCGTTTAGGGGGAAGTGTGCTGATGTATGCAACTCTGAAATGCATCAAAGGTAAGATGAATAGATGGATGGATGAATAAACAGATGGATAAATATGTGATATAACAACTAGAGTAAAATGTTACTGGTAGAATCTAGGTGGAGAGTACACTGTAAAATTCTTTCAATCCTACTATAAGGTTGAGCATTTTTATAATAAATATTGGAAAAAAAATGAGTGGAGACAGTAAAATGAGTTAGTAAGTTTGTTTAATAGTCTGCAAACAAGAGCTCAAGATTAAGATATCTACTGAAGCAGTGTTGGTGAGGGTCTAACTAAAGGAAAAATAGTGTGCTAAAATGTTGTTGCGGGAAGTCAGGGACCCCAAATGGAGGGACTGGCTGAAGCCATGGCAGAAGAACGTGGATTGTGAAGATTTTATGGACATTTATTAGTTCCCCAAATTAATACTTTTATAATTTCTTATGCCTGTCTTTACTGCAATGTCTAAACATAAATTTCTAAACATAAATTGTGAAGATTTTATGGACACTTATCACTTCCCCAATCAATACCCTTGTGATTTCCTATGCCTGTCTTTACTTTAATCTCTTAATCCTGTCAGCTGAGGAGGATGTATGTCGCCTCAGGACCATGTGATAATTGCGTTAACTGCACAAATTGTACAGCATGTCTGTTTGAGCAATATGAAATCTGGGCACCTTGAAAAAAGAACAGGATAATAGTGATTGTTCAGGGAATAAGAGAGATAACCTTAAACTCTGACCGCTGGTGAGTCAGGCAGAAAAGAACCATATTTCTCTTCTTTCAAAAGCAAATGGGAGAAATATCGCTGAATTCTTTTTCTCAGCAAGAAACATCCCTAAGAAAGAGAATACATGCCTGGAGGTATAGGCCTATAAATGGCCCCCCGAGGTGTGCGCGTCTCTTGTGGTCGAGACTGCAGGGTTGAAATAGACCCCAGTCTCCCATAGCGCTCCCAGGCTTATTAGGAAAAGAAAATTCCCGCCTAATAATTTTGGTCAGACCGGTTGCTCTCAAAACCCTGTCTCCTGATAAGATGTTATCAATGACATTGGTGCCCAAAACTTCATTAGCAATTTTAATTTTGCCCTGGTCCTGTAGTCCTGTGATCTCGCCCTGCCTCCACTTGCCTTGTGGTATTCTATTACCTTGTAAAGTACTTGATGTCTGTGACCCACACCTATTCACACACTCCCTCCCCTTTTGAAAATCCCTAATAAAAACTTGCTGGTTTTTGCGGCTTGTAGGGCATCACGGAACCTACTGACATGTGATGTATCCCCCGGACACCCAGCTTTAAAATTTCTCTATTTTGTACTCTGTCCCTTTATTTCTCAAGCTGGCCGACACTTAAGGAAAATAGAAAAGAACCTACGTGAATATCAGGGCAGGTTCCCTGATAAAATGTAAGCTCAGGCCCCTGTCTTTAGGATGTAATTTTTCGATGTTCTCTCTGAAACATGACCCCCATCCAAAAGAACTAATAAATTTGTCTGCCTGTCTTTCCAGGGAGTCAATAGATCTATCAGGGGAGAAGAAAGTAGAAATCCTGGAGACAGGAGCTCTTCACAAATGACAAATAGTTCACAGAAAACACTTCTACCCCAGAGTATCAGTTCCTCCAGCGAATCAGAGCTTTTATCCAGCCTCAGGGCAGAAGATTCTCTGAGTTAGAAAAATTGCCACACTGACAGCTTTATTTTTACCAATGACATAGACAGTCATCAACATAGTCATACCACATAAGCAGTGTG
Organism: Homo sapiens; assembly: GCF_000001405.40. Taxonomy (NCBI): domain Eukaryota; kingdom Metazoa; phylum Chordata; class Mammalia; order Primates; family Hominidae; genus Homo; species Homo sapiens. The sequence goes on from NC_000003.12 coordinate 130,299,728, forward strand.
TTCAAAAGACAATTAGAGAGGGCTCTGGGTTGCTATGGTGACAGACCAGCCTGCCAGACCTGATATTTCTCCTCCTAACTTCTCATTAAAATAGCCTTAAAAAAACAGAAAACGATAAAAACTGGAAAGCATGCTGGAAAATAAAAGTAAGAGATGTCAGAGTTGGAGTGGAATTTTTCCTGAGCATATAATTTTAGAGTAAATCAAGGAGCATCATCCTAGATCATTCATCTCCTTGTCATCCTCTGAAATAGACAGTTTGGAGCCCCTCAGAGAGTTGAGAAAGGCTTTAAGTGACCTCTTTCCTAAATCAGGGATACAGGGCTTCATAGATAGAAAAACATCAAACCTCACACCAACAACCAGACTCCGGTCTTATGCCTGCCTACTAACACCTTTTTTTTGTATATTCACTCAGAGATTAATACTCCTAGCACCAAACATGGCAAAGGTAGAAGATGAGCAGAGATTGGTTGTGTTCCAGAATTCTTTGTCATTGAAGAAACTCACCAGTTGCAGAGCCAGGAAGAGTTCTGATAGCAGCAATCACTTGGGGTTTAATGTCCCATGCAATATAGTTCACCAGAACAAAAGCTATAAAAATCTAACTTAATTAGAAATCTCCAATTCTCAGATCAAGATAACATCCAATTGTATTGTTTTTGTACTCATTAACCAAATTGACCCAACAATTCTATACTTCCCTAAATGTTATAGGTGTTCAAAAGTAAAAAAGAGACATCCTGAGATATGCAAGAACCCAGAAAAGTCATAATTATTCTTTCTTTCTTCTTCTTCTTTTTTTTTTTTTTTGAGACAAAGTTTCGCCCTTGTCCAGTCTGGAGCGCAATGGGGCGATCTCGGCTCACTGCAACCTCCGCCTCCCGGGTTCAAGCAATTCTCCTGCCTCAGCCTCACGAGTAGCTGGGATTATGGGCACCCGCCACCATGCCCGGCTAATTTTTGTACATTTAGTAGAGACGGGGTTTCACCATGTTGACCAGGCTGGTCTTGAACTTCTGACCTCAGGTGATCCACCTGCCTCGGCCTCCTAAAGTGCGGGGATTACAGGTTTGAGCCATCATGCCTGGCCCTTCCTTTCTTTAAGAAAATTCTCATTTGGGTATTCCAATCCATTGAAAAAATCAAGAGATGATTGGAGAGATGAAAGACGGCGATTAGCGAGAGATGGTGAGACGGCAATTAGCATTATAGAGCTGTAACACTAGTCAAAGTCTCTTTTAAGATCATCATCTTTCCTGCCAGTGGAGCTGAGTGGACGGGCAAGTAGCCATAGTGCCGCTGCCTTGTGTGGGACTCACTACTCTGACTGGCAGGCCGGCAGGTCACTGGTCCCCATGCCACGCCCCATCCTCCCGCAACATGGCAGCCAAGCTCACCCAGGCTTGAAGTCAGAGGAAAAGGACCAGGGGAAGGGGTGACAGGGACGTGCTTTGGGGTACCCAAATGATGGTGGACTTTAAACTGACCCTCTAGCCAGAGGCTTTATTCCCCGGCTCACTTGATTCAAGAGGGGTGGGGGCTGGGAGGGCAGAGGGACACGCATCCATCCACAGAAGGCAAAATGGCACTGACTGGTCTTCTATGTGGGACTCGGGTGAAAGTCTCTCCAGGTTCCCTCAGCTTGGGTGAGCCAGCCGTTTTATTTTCAGTTCTCAATTGTATGTTTTGTTTGAGGTTTTTTTTAACTTTGATTTTCTGTGAACTGTATTTGGGCAATTGTTTAAGGCAAGACACTTGGTTGTGAGAAGTCCCCATTTTGCCGACTCTGGGATGCCAGAGTCATATTGTTCTGTGGCCCCAACCAGCCCTTTGGGGTTCACTGTTGGCTGCCCCTCAGATGCTCTGGAGTTTTCAGCATTTGGTGTGGGGCCCCTTGTTGGCCCATACTTGGGTACTCTGGGTTTTCAGCATTCGGTATTGTTGGCTGCCTCCCAGATGCTCTAGGGTTTTTGGCATTGCCATTATCTCTAGGATTATGAGTCCATCCTAGGGAATTCTTGGTCTTCCCTTTTCTTGTTTTCTGACCTAAAGTTATCATTTTCTGTAATAGCATTTTCTTGTCTTTGTCACTTTATTTACACTTTTCCTTTTACATTTTGCTTTATAAAAATACTTCTTTTGTCATATTTAATTCACTGGCAAATGCTTATAATCTACTTTTGTAATGCCTTGCTACCTACACTTACATCTTCTCTGCAGGCAGCAGAAATCTGAAAGGAAAATAGTGAGGACCCGTTTTCTTTCCCTCTTGCCAGACTTAGAAAAACTTCTGTGTCCATTAGAAATCCTTGTTTGACATGGAAACAATGATAAGCATCCCAGAAAACTCACCGCTAGGATGTCTTTAGGGCTATAGGAGCAAATTGAAATTCAGCTTAAAGAAAAATAAATTCATTTTCTATCGCAACACCATTTGGGTTTAATATAAATTGGAAAACCAAGATATTTGGCCTAAACATGGTTCTATACATTATACTGCTGTTTTACAATTGGACTTATCCTGTAAAAAAGAAGGAAAATGGGAGGAGGTCTCTTATGTACAGGCTTGTATGGCCCTTTACTGGCTCATGTTACTTCCAGATACCAGGAAGCTGCACTTAAGGGATTCCCTCCGAGCTATTCTTCCTAAAAGGCCTACACCCTCTCCAGAGTCTCTTCAGTCCCTTAGTTCTCAGGCCGGGTGCAGGTCCCACCACTTCTCTAATGAAAGATTCTACCCCAAAGTCATCAGGCAACCCTCCCCCTTATCCAACTTGCCCCAGCACATATACCCTGCTGCCCAACCAGTACCACCAGGAATGGGGTCCCCTATCAGCCCCTAAAGTCAAACCTGTGTTCATTGTGGGAGGTAGCTGATGGAAATGGGGGAACACTTAGAGTACATGTGCATTTTCTAGATCTGATTTGGCTTTATACAAGCAAAAATTTGGCCAGTTTTCAGAGCATCCAGAAAAGTTTATGGAGGAGTTTGTTAAGTTGGCCACGTTCTTTAATTTAACTTGTCATGACTTACAAGTATTGTCCACTTGCTGTGCCGTAGAGAAAAAGTAGAGGAAAAAGTGTGTTGTTAAGCCAGTCAATTATGACAAGATTAGAGCAATAATTCAGGGAAAGGATGAAAATCCTACTCGGTTTCAGCTGTTTGGTTGGGGCACTCAGGAAATATACTAATGGAGACCCAGACTCCCCATATAGGCAAGCTCTCCTGGGTATACATTTTTTACTCCATCTGCCCCTGACATTATAAGGAAACTACAAAAATCAGCAATGAGACTTCAAACCCCTCTGAGACAACTCTTAAATGTGGCCTTTAAGTTTACAACAATTAGGGACAGGCAAGTCTTTTATTGGGTCATCTGCTATGCCTGAAATGCCTACTTCTTTCTTCCTTCAATCAACATTCTATCCCATCTTCAAGGTCTTCCCTTCAGGAGACCTTCTCTTATCTGATATTTACCTCATCAGAAAGCTTATTTTCCTACCCTGAACTTCAGGGGAAATACAGTAAAAAATAAAACCTCCTACCCATCCAGAAAATCCTCTCCACAAAATATAGGAAAGAAAAAAAGTAGTTTTATTATTGAATAAAGTTTAAACCAGACTCTGATGTGGATCACAGGCAATCTGCTAAGCAGATCAAAAAGACAGAAAGAAAGCTCACCCTTTATAAAACCAAACAGATACAATCCATTACACGCATGTTCTCAAGGATAACCAGATCTCAAGTAAGGGGACTTTGACCTGCCCTTTGTCACACATAATTTATCCTAACTCACCTGGTAATTGAGGTGGTTATTTGTGTTTGCTAACAGACTTTATCCAGAATAAAAATAAACTTCTCATATCTCTCTCTCTCTTTTTTTTTTTTTATAACTTCTCATATCTTTACCGCAAGTGGTAGTCTTGCAACTTACAGTCAGGTGTCCTGCCAAAGAGAGAGTCCTATCCTTCCATTGGAACTGGGAGATGGGGAGACGGGGGTACTATCTTCCTTGATGATCACGTTTCAAAGAGATGGGTGCCACATCCCTGAGAAAAAGATTCCTGGGTTGTAAAACTGGCAAGAGGCTTATTTATCTTTTAAAAATATTCACATCCATCTCAAAGAGTCAGAGAAAGAATTTATAAACTTTCTAAGTAAATACTCTAAGAAAAGGGATGGGGAAATTATCTCTCCTTCTTTTTGTACTAAGGAGATTTTCCCCCCTTTATTCTTAATTTGTATTTGCCCTTGCAAACTCACATATCCTCTTTGGTCTGTGTCATTAAAATGTTATTTAATTGACAGGGGTATTTGTATACTCCTCATCTCTTTTTCACTCGATCTTAGTAGAAACTGTGTCATGTGCATTTGTGCTGTGGCACCTGATGTGTCCCCTGCATACAACTTAGTCCTTTCAGTCTATTTTTTTTTCTTGGCCAACCTCTTGCTTCCAGTCTTTCTATTCAGCCTGTCTCTGGCTTTGGTCATCAATTCACAAGCATCACCAATCACTTTGGCTCTTGTTCCTTGAGACTGATGGGGTCCTCTGTGGCTTGGCCTCAAATTATTCCCTTAGGAACTACCTCCTTGAGAAGCACAGGTGTGTGAAACCCATACATTTAATGGAACCTGACTGTCTTCTTGGTGCTGATTATAGGAGTATAAGTAGCAAGAAAATAGTAGCTGTGGTTGCCAAGTTGAAATAATGCCATATGTACTTAATTATAGCTAAGCCGTGCAAAACTTAGAAACTTCAATAGTGAACCAAATTGTGAGAAAATAATAGGATAAAAACTTCCACTTTTTGAGGGCTCTTTATTTGTTGACAACTCTGGTAAGTTGTGATTTACACTTCCGAGAGAAAAGCCCAATAACATGGTGAAGAATTGAGGTTTTGGAGGGGCATCCTGCAAGAGAGAGGCCAAATTCCCAGAGGGAATGGCAAGAGAAGAGGAGACTTAGGATAACTTGTCACATGAGGATTTTTGAGCATTTTGCTTTGTGGTGTGTGATGTAAAGTCTATTCTGTCGCAAAAATTTCAACAAAATCTATGTTGCTCATTAATGCTTCTAGTGTGAGTGAATTCCCTTTGGGGAATGCAACTAGTATTGAATTTGGGGTGGTTCAAGTACAGTAAAGAGCAAAAACAGAGATTCTGTTTGGGGACATCTGACCTCTGTGTTCCATTAGTCCTTAAGTGTTCATTCAAAATTATCTCCTCAAAGGCGATGACTCCTGGAAATTTTCTAGCTTTCTTAAGAAGAGAATAGAGACAATGTTTAATAAAGTAATTCAGAGATGAAGTTGAATAATTTCCCAATAGCAGGGCTGCTGAATATTGATATGATTTCAAAAAAGTATTCAAGCATCATATGGGGATGGAGGCGCAATTGGATGATTTTAAATGCACCATGGAACCCTTAAAGCAATATTTCCAGGGAAGGTTTTCTCATTTCCTTCTCTAAATTAAGAATCTTTTAAAAGATCTATTTCTATTTGACCAAGAGGATAGGAATTAGGACTCCTTACCCCAGTCCTGGACTACTTCATACTGTATAAGGACTGCGTTTTGCTCTCCTCTCTTCACCCCAGCTTGGCAGGATCCAGGTAGAGAAGCTCACACTTCACTAGCCAGAGGGGTTATGAGGTAGTTTGAGCCTACTGCTTATACAAAGGCCAAGGGTCTCTCACTCTCCTCCCAGTGCAGTCCTCATCTCCCTCCAAGTCTCACATTTTTCACATTTATATGTAGAGCCATTCAGCTTGGACTCAGCTACCTTGATCTTGCATGTTCACATCTGCCAATTCATATTATTTTCCAAGTATGTGAAAACTTGTATACTGACAATGATGACTTTGTTTGGTTTGAGAAAACAGAAACATCCTCAAATTATAAACATCCACTTTCTTTAAAAATCACTAGGATTGGGATGAATAAACAATCTGTTTCTCATTCCACCCATTTTGTTAAAAGCGTCTGTTCTTTGTCTTTGCTAAAATTTTCCCTCACGCACTGAAGCTGGAAACCTAAGGGTCATCTCTAATACCTTTCTTCCCTTCTATCCCACATCAGAGCTATCACCAGATCAAAGTAATTTTATTTTCAAATTACAGTAAGGCTCTGGCTACCCTCCTCTGTTTTCACAGTCAGTACCCTAGTCCAAGTCACCATCACCTCTTATGGTGACCACTGCAGGAGCCTCCAGTCTGGTTTCTCTGCTTCCATTTAATTATCACAAAGCAGCCATAGCATTCTTCTTAAAATGCAAATAGAATCATGTCACTTTTCTGCCAAAATCTAACCCTTCAATAATTTCTCAATGTGTTCAATAAAACCCAAACTCTATAACATAGTCTGTAGTATGCCTACATGATATTGGCCCTGGCTTACCTCTCCAAGCACATTTTGTGCTATTTTCTCCCTAATACTTTTCCTTAGTAAATCACTAATTTAGTTCAGTTATATTGGGATGAATAGTTTTTTCTAATTTACTACAGTTTAGCCACACTCAGAATTATTCTGGCAACTCATACTTAGCTCTACTCTATTGGCATTTCTAATTTTCCTGACTAAAACATTTAATCGTAGATAAACATGCACCATGAGCTTAGCTACTGCAGAGATATGTCTTCCCTAACTAAACCTGAGACTGTTTCCTACCTCTTTCAAGGTGCTAACAGTCTTTAGTTTTTCAAAGAACGATGTATGTATTTATTTCAACCTTTTGTATTGTATCTATAATGGTATAAAATGTATCACACAGACAAAGCATATGTCATATGTAAACACACGATAAAAAGTCTTATTTCTGTCTTTATTACCGTGGAAGAGTATCAAAAATTTTTAAAAATTTTAATCTCCTTCAATTTTAATCTTAAAAATTTCTAAGTCATTGCCCAATGTTATGTTTTTAGGGGCAAATTGGCTGGGAAAAGCTGCCAATCATAGCTAAGCCAAAAAACCTGATGTGTGTCCTTTTAACCACCAGAGACACCAGAGGATGAGACTTGTATGAAAGACATGGTAAAAAGTCACATTTTATTGGGAACACCAATCACCCCCAAGTTGATGGTTTTTACTTTGCTTAGTCTTTGGTGACACATTCAAATCAGATAATTTGAAGATAATTTAATAAAAGGTCTCTACAAGGAACTCAAACAAATCAGCAAGAAAAAAACCCAAACAATCCCATCAAAAAGTGGACAAAGGACATGAATAGACAATTCTCAAAAGAAGATATACAAACACCCCAAAAACATATAAAAATGTTTAACATCACTAATTATCAGAGAAATGCATATTAAAACCACGATGAGATACCACCTTACTCTTGCAAGAATGGCCATAATTAAAAAATCAAAAAATAATATATGTTGGTATGGATGTGGTGAATAGGGAAATCTTTTACATGGCTGGTGGGAATGTAAACTAGTACAACCACTATGGAAACATTATGGAGATTCCTTAAAGAACTAAAAGTAGAACTATGATTCCATCTAGTAATCCTACTACTGGGTATCTACCCAAAGGAAAAGAAATCATTATAAGAAAAAGACACATGCATGTGCATGTTTATAGCAACACAATTCACAATTGCAAAAATGTGGAGCAAACCTAAATGCCCATCCACCAATGAGTGGATAAAGAAAATGTGGTGTATATATATATACATACCATGGGATCTACTCAGCCATAAAACAGAATGAAATAATGGCCTTTGCAGCAACTTGAATGGAGTTGGAGATCATTATTCTAAGCGAAGTAACTCAGGAATGGAAAACCAAATATTGTACATTCTCACTTATAAGTGGGAGCTAAGCTATGAGGATGCAAAGCCATAAGAATGATGTAATGGACTTTGGGGATCAGGGAGAAGAATGGGAGGAGGGTGAGGAATAAAAGACTACATATTGGGTACAGTGTACACTGATCAAGTGACAGGTGCACCAAAAATCTTAGAAATCACTACTAAAAAACGTATCCATTTAACCAAAAACCACCTGTTCTCCAAAAACTATTGAAATAAAATAAAAGGAAAGATTTTTAAAAGTTTAAGTAGGGTCGAGGAAAAGCAAGAGGGAATGCTCTAGTACCTGGAAACACCTGAGCTAGTTACACATTTCTATTGAGTTTGGGTCCAGTTGTTACAGCACTGAGCCTACTTTAATGTACAAGTGAGCTCTTTAAAAATTAGAATCTATTTAAATATATTTAGTAAATTTCTAACTTGATTTTTAAATAGGTAAATTTACATGGATCCAAAGGAATAAAGGATTTTCAGTGTTAGGTCTCTCTGCCCCTACTCACAACCACTCATTAGTTAATTGTAATCTAGAAATACATATAAGCAAACATATAAAAATTGTTATACCTTTTTCCATTTTTACAAAAATCTTGGCAATATTGTGAGCATTTACTCTATACCAGTTTCTGTTCTAAGAATTTACATTTAACTCATTAACTATGAAACAACCCTATAAGATATATACTGTTATAATCTCTAGTTTACAAATGAGAAGGCTGAGAAACAGAAAACACAGATGTGCCCAAGAACATACAGCTAATGAGTACTGGGGGTAAGATTTGAACCCAGGCTGCCTGATTCCAGTTCCTATCTTCTTAACCACTTTATTGTATGGCTTCAGAGATAACACTGTTAACATAATAAATGTATTTTATTCTATATATGTTATAAAACAGTATGTTACTGTTTCTATGATATAATAATGTATTTTTAAAAATTTCATTTATTCCCTCGAATTGGAAATTATGCACTCTATTTTTTCATTGTTATTCTTAAAAGTAGAATATGTATACTTAATGTAAAGTCTACAATTAATTATTTCTATTTTCTTCAGAAACAAAACATAACAGCCTAATCACATTCTCCCTGGTTTATATGCTATCATTTTCTATTATGTCCAATTTGGGATTCATCATACTATTTTTTAAATTCACAAGTTAAGACATTATTATTGCTGTATGCAGTCTATATTTGTTTAGATTTGCCTATGTATTTACCATTCTTTTTGCTGACCTTTCCACCCCAACTTCAAATCTCATGTGCACATAATTGGATAAATCATAATTTGGACTCATGATATGCTGTCATCATTAACCCACTATGATCTTCGTTTTAAAATTCTCTCTTTTGCTTAAGGAACAACTATGAATGTATTGCTGAACCCACAAACACTAACTATAATGTATCTATGTACTCTTTTTTCTTGCATCTCAAAACAATTTATCTTTTTTCCAAAGTACATTCTTCAGAGAAGTTCCTCTGGTCTGCTGGTGGTAAATGCTTTTAGTTTTTGTTAGACGATAAAAATCTTTACGTCACCCTTTGTCTTGAATGACAATTTTGCTGGATAGAGAATCCTAGGTTCATAGTTTTCTCTCAGCATTTTGAAAATATTATTTCATTGTCTTTGGATTCCATTTTTTGGTTGATGAGAAAGCTGTTTTCACTCAAATTATTGTTCTGTTTAGTGGCTCTTTCTTTCTGACTGCCTTTAAGAGTTTCTTTGCCTTTGGTACCCTGCAGTTACATTACAACATGACCAGGTGTGAATTTGTTTTCCTTTTTCCTGCTTGGTTTATGTTGTGATTCCTGTATCTATGGATGTATATCTCTCATTATTTCTGGAAAATTCTCAGCCATTATTTTTTCTTCTTCTACTTAATCCTTTGAAAATATATACTAGATGTTTTCCCATTTTATCCTCCATTTCTCTTAACATTTATATATATATATATATATTTCACCACTCCTTAGTTCTCTGCACTACATTCTGGGTAATTTCTTAATTTCTCTTTTCCAATTCACTGTTTGTTGTATTGTGTCCAAACTGCTTTTTAATTGCTCGATTGTGGTGATTATCATTTTTCTTCCCAGAAGTTCTATTTGGTTCTTTTTAAAATCTGCCTAATCAACTATAATTCCTTTAAATATTTTATACAACTTATTTCATATTCTCTAACTGGTAGTCCTAATATCCGAAGTCTGGTTTTTTAAAAGAATTATTTATGCTGATCACTCCTCATGGCACCTTTTAACTCATTTATTTGGTATATTTTGTTCATTGATTCACATTTAAATGACTTGAGTCTGTGACTATTTGATGGTTCTGGACTAAGAATGTTTATCTCTAGAAAGAATTTGCATTTGCTTCTGCAGGGTATCCAATAGTACTATTAAATTGAAACCACTTTAATTTAACTTGTAGCTCTGGGGATTACCTAGGCAGAGGTAGCATAAATTTAAATCTCAAATTTGTATCAGAACAAGCCTATAATATCATTTCTCAGGAAGTCTATTGTTTTATATATAGATATAACCCAGAAAAGGAGCAGAAACAGGTAGCTTCCCACGTTGGCTCTCTCTGCAAGCAGATGGGTATTTTCCTCAACAACCTCTTCAAGTGACTCCTGAGTAGTCTGAGAGCTACCCTCCCATTCCCTGAATCAGCCAACCATTAATCCCTCAAACTCTGGGTTCCTAAAATGGATTTTTGCTCCCAGAAGTGCTACGTTCTGTCCATCTTTGTTTATCTCTGTAATTTTTGCTTACTCTTCATTTTTGCTAGCCCTTAGGGATTTTTTATACTTCTTTGTGTGCCCAGCAATGCAGTTGACAGTTTGGCTCTGTATCCCCACCCAAATTTCATCTCGAATTGTAATCCCCATAATCTCCACATATTGAGGAAGCGACCTGGTGGGAGGTGATTGGATCATGGGAGTTGTTTCCCCCATGCTGTTCTCATGATAGTGAGTTCTCACGAGATTTGATGGTTTTATTACGTGTTTGACAGTTCTTCCTGTTCTCTCTCACAATCTCACCTGCCACCATATAAGATGTGCCTGCTTCCCCTTCTGTCATGATTGTAAGTTTCCTGAGGCCTCCCCAGCCATGCAGAGCTGTGAGTCAATTAACTGTCTTTCATTTATAAATTACCCACTCTTGGGCAGTTCTTTATAGCAGTGTGAAAACAAATTAATATAGCAATATATACGTATTTATATATAGTATATATATTATTTTATATATCAAATATGTTTATATATAAAACATATATATATATATATATATATATACGTACACACACACTGCCCAAGGCAGAACTTCTAGTGTGATCTTTTAAAAGACAAACTTTTTACCCCTAATTAGAATATTTTGATGAATTCTTAATGTTCTTAGAATAAAGACTAAAATATATCTTCACAAAGTCTGTGAAGACTTATTTACTGCAGCTATAATTTTACATTTATTTGTGTTGACATTTTTTAAATGCCTGGTAGCCTCCAAGATAACTGTCCCCCACCCAGCCCAAGATTCTCACCTTCTGGTATTTGTGCTCAGTGTAGCTCTCTCCCATTTTGAATGAGGCTGACATATATGGAACTTAGGATATTGTGGAAAAGATAATGTGTGACTTCTGCAGTAAAATCGTAAAAGATATCTCACTTCTGCCTTGCTCTCTTGGGTCACTCACTCTGGAGAGAGTCAGCTGCCATGAGGCACCGAAGCAGCCATATGAAGAGTTCACATGGTGAATAACTGAAGCCTCCTGCCAGGAGGCATGTGAGTGAGCCATTTTAGAGGCACATCTTTCCTCTGCAGTCAAACCTTCATCTGGCCAACATTCTGACTGTTACCCTATGAAAATCTTTGAGCCAGAACCACCCAGTGAAACCACTCCTAAATTCCTGACTTACAGACTTTGTGAGATAATAAATGATAACTTGTTTTAAGCTACTGGGTTTTGGGATAATTTGTTATACAGCAAAAGATAATAATAGATAACTAATATGATGTCCACCTCTTCCCCTACACTGAATACTTCATGAAGCAGAGACTGTGTCTGTTTTTGCTTACTCTTGCATGCCCTGTGCCTGGCAAATAGTAGAGACTTAAGAAATATTTGTTGAATCAACAAAGCAATGAACGTAAAGATTGTATGTCCTTAGTCTCTAGCAAAGATTTCATGGCAAAAATGCCAAAAACAATTGTGACAAAAACAAAAATTGACAAGCTCATTAAACTAAAGAGCTTCTGGACAGCAAAAACGAAAACAAAAACTATCAACAGACTAAAGAGACAGTCTACAGAATGGGACAAAATATCTGCAAACTATGCATCTGACAAAGGTCTAATATCCAGAATCTACAAGGAACTTAAATTAATAAGCAAAAACCAAATAACTCCATTAAAAAGTGGGCAAAGAACATGAACAGACACTTCTCAAAAGAAGACATACATGCGGCCAACAAACATATGAAAAAAACTCAACTTCACTGATCATTAGAGAAATGCAAATTAAAACCATAATGAGAAACAATTTCACACCAGTCAGAATGGCTATTATTAAAAAGTTAAAGGATTACAGATGCTGGCAAGGTTGCAGAGAAAAAGGAACACTTAAACACTGCTGGTGGGATTGTAAATTAGTTCAGCCATTGTGGGAAGCAGTTTGGCGATTTCTCAAAGAACAGAAAACCAAATACATCATGTTCTCATTTACAAGTGGGAGCTAAACATTGATTATACATGGACACAAAGAAGAGAACAACAGACACCAGGGCCTACTGGAAGGTGAAGGGTGGGAGGAGGGTGAGGATCGATCACCATTCAACCCAGCTTCCCATTTTTAGGTACTCAAAGGAATAGAAATCATTCTATCATAAAGACACATGCATGTGTATGCTCATTGCAGTACTATTCACAATAGCAGAGACATGGAATAAACCTAGATGCCCATCAACAGTAAACTGGATTAAAAAAATGTGGTACATATACACCATGGAATACTATGCAGCCATAAAAAATGAGATTTTGTCCTTTGCAGCAACAGGGATGCAGCTGAAGGGTATTATCTTAAGCAAGCTAACATAGGAACAGAAAACCAAATACCTCATGTTCTCATTTACAAGTGGGAGCTAAACATTGATCATACATGGACACAAAGAAGGAAATAACAGACACCAGGGCCTACTGGAAGGTGGAGGGTGGGAGGAGGGTGAGGATCAAAAAACCACTTATCAGGTACTATGCTTATCATCTGGGTGATTAAATAATCTGTACAGCAAACCCCTGTGACATGCAGTTCACCTATATAACAAACCTGCACATGAAATCCTGAACCTAAAATAAAAGTTAGAAAAAAAGAGAGAGATTGCATGTCCTGTGCCATAGAAATGACCAGAAGAACCCAATGCTGAGAAGTTGCTAGAAAAATAATCTTGACAATATATAATGGCCAGTATTTTCCTTAGAGACTTAGAAATTTTATATTTGGAATATGTTTATGCAGAATCTGCTGTAGTTAATGGGTTTTCAAAATATTTGGGCAGTGAAAGATGACAACGGGGATCAGGCAAAGTAGTTCTCATCATTTAAGCTCCTTAAAAAAAACAAAACATCACAAATGTTTAAAAACGGCTTTGGTTCTCTTTCAAAGTAAGAATTAAAAGGGGAAAGATAAATCCAGAATTGAGTACGTGGATGTTCCTGGGTATGGGTGTATGTGTTCATTGCAGTAGTGGTGGTGGCAGCATTAGTGGTAATAATGGCTCTGGGAATGAGGGTAGAAGTGCCTCACCCTATCCTTCTGCTTATCTAGCCTTGACCCTTCCAACAAAGAAGCGTTGGAGATTATTCCAAGTGCCTATTTTCCAACAAATAACAGTTCATTTCTTTCTTCTGGAAAGCTTTCTCTGACTCTCAGGGGCCGCTCCCTCCTTTCTATTGCACTTATCATCTTTAAGAACATCATGAAGGCCTCAGTTCATTACTTTATATTATGGTTTACCCCTTTTTTTTCTGAAACAATATCTCTCTGTCTCTTACTTTCAGGCTGGAGTGAAGTGGTGCAATCATAGCTCATTGTAATCTCAAACTCCTGGTCTCAAGCAATCCTTCCACCTTTGCCTCCCAAAAAGCTGGGATTAGAGGTGTGAGCCACTGAGCCTGGCCTGGTTTATGCATATTTATAAGTATGTTATGTACTTGATTTCCCTCCGTGGAACAGAAAGCATTCTCAGCAGAAAGAAGATTCCCTCAGTTAGAGTTGCTATTCAGAGCAGTGGGAAATACACACAGTAGGACTGGCGGAGGAGAAAGTGGAGGTCATTCCCAGAGTCCTAGAGGATTGGTTTCAGTTTCAGCCTCAAGGGATAAGTGCTTAGCCAGAGAGAAATACTATGATGAGGCACAGTCAGAAACCAGACTGGAAGGCAAGAAGAGACAAAGAGATCCTAGATGCAGGTGCAAAAACGCAGGATCAAGAGTTCAGTCTTATTGGGTATTGTCTGTATGGTCACCAGAGCATATCACCAAACTGAAAGTTGCAGACCTAGACTGATGTTCTTTCCCAAACTAGACTATGCATTCCTCAAGGATTGGTATTTGTACTCATCTCTATCCTCAGGGTATTGCATAGGGCTCTTAATATAATAGTTGCCCAGTATATATATATGTATATATATATATATATATATTTTAAACTTTGAATTGAATTTTACTGTATTTATATTTGATTTTCATATAGCTAGTTGTGTGAGATTAATCTTTACTAGGTAGATAAAAGGGTTGAAGCTTATTAGTTGTGAGTAATATATATACTACAAAAATAGGCCATTGTTGGTGAATCTCTAAAATAAAATTGACATAAAACCTTCACCTACAACATCATCTGAGCTAACTACATACTATCATATAGATTACTTGAACCAACCTTACTAGAGGACTCATTTGTAACCAGGAAATAAATTGAATACAAATAGGATTTGCTAAAGAATGTGGTTTTCTTTTGCAATATTTACTTATTTGTGACATGTGTCTAAATTATTGCTACTCGGAATTAATGAGGTTGAAAGGAATAAGGTTCAATTGCTGTGTGATGAGTTAAAATATTAATTGTGCTTATTTTTCTATATTTGTTCCTTCTGCCATTTCAAGCAGGTAGCCAGGACCTAGATAATTCCTGTGATTTTAATTCATTTTAAAATTTTAATTCTAATTTTTGGCAAGGCTGAAACCTGAAGCCACTTGAAATAAAAGGATCTTCACATATTTGTTGGAACCTAAATTCATTGAAGAGACCATTCCAAGTGAAGAGATTATTCCAAGTGCCTTTGAGGAACAATTAGGGAAGAGAAGAGTGGATATAGAACTCTGGCAAGAAATGTGCTTGGGGTGCACAATGGCTTTAAAATGCTTTAATTTAAATGTCTATAGATGGGGTGAACTTTACTCAGATTGACACAGTCCCTTCCTGTTTCTGACATTTGACTTGAGAACTTTTGCTAACAGGCAATAGTAGGAAAAAGGGGGAGGTTTTCCAGACCGAAAAAGGCAGCCTGAAGCCATGAGGTAGGAAAAAGCAGCACGGCAGCACAAGGTGTACCAAAGAAGAGATGAATGTAGTTTTGATTTGCATTTCTCTGATGGCCAGTGATGATGAGCATTTTTTCATGTGTCTATTGGCTGCATAAATGTCTTCTTTTGAGAAGTGTCTGTTCATATCCTTTGCCCACTTTTTGATGGGGTTGTTTGATTTTTTCTTGTTAATTTGTTTAAGTTCTTTGTAGATTCTGGATATTAGCCCTTTGTCAGATGGGTAGATTGCAAACATTTTCTCTCATTCTATAGGTTGCCTGTTCACTCTGATGGTAGTTTCTTTTGCTGCCATCTCACACCAGTTAGAATGGCAATCATTAAAGTCAGGAAACAACATGTGCTGGAGAGGATGTGGAGAAATAGGAACACTTTTATACTGTTGGTGGGACTGTAAATTAGTTCAACCGCTGTGGAAGACAGTGTGGGGATTCTTCAAGGATCTAGAACTAGAAATACCATTTGACCCAGCAATCCCATTACTGGGTATATACCCAAAGGATTGTAAACCATGCTACTATAAAGACACATGTGCACCTATGTTTACTGCGGCACTATTCACAATAGCAAAGACTTGGAACCAACCCAAATGTCCATCAATGATAGACTGGATTAAGGAAATGTGGCACATATACACCATGGAATACTATGCAGCCATAAAAAGGAGAGTTCATGTCCTTTGTAGGGACGCGGGTGAAGCTGGAAACCATCATCCTGAGCAAACTATCACAAGGACAGAAGACCAAACACTGCATGTTCTCATTCATAGGTGGGAATTGAAAAATGAGAATACTTGGACACAGGGTGGGGAACATCACACACTGGGGTCTGTCGTGGGGTGGGGGGATGGGGGAGGGATAGCATTAGGAGAAATACCTAATGTAAATGACGAGTTAATGGGTGCAACACACCAACATGGCACATGTATACATATGTAACAAACTGCACATTGTGAACATGTACCCTAGAACTTAAAGTATAATAACAAAAATAAAGAAAAAAAAAGAAGAGATGAATGTAGAGACTACCTTTCAGTATCTGAGACCTAAAAGCTGAATTTCATAAGGGAGAGCTCTGCTCCACAGGCAGGGCCTCAGTGAAAAATGCAACCTGCTGATCTGACAATGGGTTGTTGGTAAGCGTCTTTGGGTTGTGTTGTTTCTAGAGGCAGGAGTGGATTGACCTCAGCCTTAGAAGCTGTTTCACTGGAGTGAGCTCACCACTTACTGGTTGGTTTCCAAAGTGGGAGGCTGTCATTTATTGGCTGGCTTTCAGAGGAAAGTACGTTCCTGCTGAATGGAGTAGCAGTTCTGGTATTTATTTGTTACTGTGGCTATAGAACTGCCAGTTTTTTCTTAGAAGAATGGGATTTTTACTTTTGATTTTGCTTAATTCTCAGAAAGAAGGGACCTTGTTCTCATCTAGACAAAGATTTACAAGTGCACATCATATTTCTGAAACAGGGAGTTTCCAGACCATAGACAACCACTGGGTTTTGGACATGAGGATGTGAGGGGCAACCACAAGGGCATGGAGGTGAAAGGCCTTCCCTGTTCTGCAGGTGTCATGGAAACCTCATGGCTTCTGCTGTCATATAGAAAAGAAGGTGCCCACAGCAATTAATAGTGAATTGCCTCCCAACCCAGAGAGATGGGTGCTAAAAGCAAGATTTGAATTGATTTAAAGAATATAAATAAATAGAGTACTTCTTGCAACCCTGTGTTTGTAGACTGATATCATTTTCCTCATTTTATGAAAGGGGATGTTTATGATACATACTTGTCATTAAAAGATGGAAGAACATTAAAGGAACAGTAAAAATGGGACTGGGGATTTTGTTTAAATTGGATATGAAGGGTAAGGGGCAGGCATTTGTAGTGCAAACATTTCTTCCTTGGCCTCTCAAAAGAAACTCACCATTCCTGAAATGAAGGAGCTGGGCTAAATCATCTCTAGGGACACTCACAGATCTAACCCACCAATTCCATTGATTTTTATTATTATTATTTTTAAATGTAATATTGTTTTTAATAGGACGAAGACAGCAGATTCCAAGTTTCAGAATGTAACTGCATCTTGTTAAGAAGAAAAATCTATTCATTCATTAACACCAGGGAAGAGTAAATAAGCTTAGTTATTTTACATATAATGTTCTACATTTGTAAAATGACTTCATGCCACCCATCTCACTTTATACTCAATAAAACTGTCAAACTCTTATAGGGTAGGAAATATTAGAAGTGCCCAAGAATTCTGGAGCCCTTCCCTGGCTCTAGTACTGACACTGGGAGGCATGAGGAGATGGCCACAGAGCTCCTAGACCATCATCCCCAGCACTCAGAGACTCATCACCTTATCTGCTTTGGAGTCTTGCAGTCTATCCTATCATACCCTCTATCCCTTTTCATATCAGCCACCACAGAAAGCCAACACCTCCACGTCTTCCAACATCACCTGGACTCCCATCCTCGGGAGGCTCTGAACATTCCCTAATTCTTCTACTCCTCCTTCCACCTGCTCCCAAAGCCCCCAAACCTCTCACTGCATCTCCTGAAGCTCTGTCAGTCACCAGCTAAGTCCTCTGTGCCCTCAGCCTCCTCTGTGAGTGTTCTCTTCAATTGCTTGTTCTCACTGGACTCCTAAGGAACCATGTTCCCATAAGGCCTCTCAGGTGAGAGGACTGCCAATCTCTTTTCTCTCTCACATCACTCATACCACCATGTAGAGAGGCAAAGATCCTTATCGTTGCTTCTAGGATGTTTCTCACTTCTCCCTAATGGCCTAACTTTTAATCTTATGCCATTGCAATTCTGCTACACCATCCCCATTCTGAGCCTCAGATATCTTCAGATTCCTCAGTCACTTCATGAAGATTTTAGCTCGTGGCTCACAGTCACTCTCTCCATCACTACCCCTTCCCTCATTCTTGATGATATCAGTATCCACATGGATCACCCTTCCAATATCTTCTCAGCTCCTTGGCTTTTAACAAAGATCCTACCTACTTCAGTTAAATACTCCCAGGACCCACAATGGCCCATGTCATTACCTATACTGCACACTCCATTGTCTTGAATCCAAGCATCTGGGTCTCTGACTGTTTCACCTCACTTCTACTGGTACCCAGAGCCAACAAGTTTTGTTGACCACACTGAGATCTATGATCCATTGATCCTGTAACCTTTTCACAGTCTGCCTCCTTTTCCCATCATGTCTCCACTTCTCAGATTCTAGAAACCATCGTAATCGTTTCCTTATATGCACCTTCAATTTCCTTGTCCTCTTTTCTGCCTCCATATTCATCTGGGAAAACTTGACCTTGGTAAAATACAGCTCTCCACATCCTTGCCACCTGCATCAGGCAGTGAATGTGGCTGGGAGAAAATGAACAACTATGTTGACCAGTGGTGCTCCCCAGCAAATCAAAATTACATTTTTCTTCCCTCCTTTCTACTCAACATGTAGTTCATAGTTCCACAACATCAACGTTTGAGAGATGATTAGAAATGCAGGATCTCTATCCCCAGCTCACTTAATCACAGTCTGCATTTTAACAAGGTCCCCAGGTATTTCCTGTGCACATTAAAGTTTGAAAATAATGATCTAGAGGATGATTTAAAACCTAACTGGCTTGGCACAGTGGCTCACTTGTAATCCCAGCACTTAGGGAGGCTGAGGCGGGAGGATCACTGGAGCCCAGGAGTTCAAGACCAATCTGGGCAACTTAGCAAGACCTCATCTCTAAAAAAATTAAAAAAAAAAATAAACAAAAATTTTAAAAAATTACCCTGCATGGTGGTGTGCGCCTGTAGTCCCAGCTATTTTGGTGGCTGAGGTGGAAGGATTGCTTGAGCCCAGGAGGTGGAGGTTGCAGTGAGCTGAGATCGCACCACTTCACTCCAGCCTGGGCGACAAAGTGAAACCTGTCTCCGAATGAATAAAATAAACAAATAGAACCTTCTTTCTTCTTAAATTTCCAATACTTCCAGACCATCCTTATTCTCAGCGGATGAGTTCACTTCCTGTTTCAATGAGGAAAAAAAAGCAATCTGAAGAAAACAGCCACATTTCCATCCCTGCCTACCAACTGTACAGAATGTGTGCCTGTATCCTGTCCTTTCTTCTCTCCCTGTGGGTGGACTGCCAATTCTCTTTTCTAAGGCTATTCATCATACTTGTGTTCTAGCTCTCCTCCCCTCTGCCCTCACCAGGGAGACTACTTCAACTCTCTCTCTCATGTCCTCAATTTTTCTTTCCTCTAAGTCTTTTGTATCAGCATCCTACCATTCTATAATTTTTCTCATCTTAAAAACTAAGCACACAGATTAAAAAAATAAAGCACTCATCCTTTGCTACATTCTCATGAAGCTGCCCGTTTCTCTGCTCCCTTTTATAAAACTCTCCCGAAAGTGTTCTCATTCTCCTCTTTTATCCCTCCGATCAAGCTTTCATCTCACTACTTCACCAAAACTGCTCCAATTGTGGGTACCAGCGACTTCTATGTTGCTGAATCCGATGCTCAATAAATCCCCTTTTCACTTGACCTCCAACAGTAATTACTTAGTTGATCAAGCCTTTTTTGAAAAAAACAAACAAACAAAAAAACACTTTCTTTGCTTGAAACAATAAAAGCCCCAAAACGTGTTTACTTTCTACGCAATCAATTCTTAGTTTAAGTTTACAATTCTAGGTTAAATATACATGTCCTTTAGGATTGCTAAAGCATTTTTCCTTGTCTTTTTTTAGACTAAAGTATTGTTGGAAAGAATGGTGATACTATAATTCCTGGTCCATGTATTTGACCTGCTTTTACTTTCTCAGAGACTTTAGGATCTACAATTCATCACTTGGGTTTAGAAATTTCACATTGATATGCTTTTTTGTGGGTGGTTTTTTATTGATTATACTGAATTCACAGAGGACTTCTTGATCTGGGTGGTCATGTCCATCAGTTCAGAGAATTTTTCTTAATTACTTTTAAAGTAATTTTTTCCTTCTACTTTCTATGTTCTCTCTTTCTGAAATTCCTACTTGGATATTGGATTGCCTAAATTGAGTCTTTAATTTTCTTTTTTCTTCAAAAATTTTTCTCTATCTCCTTTGCAGTTTGTTTGTTTGTTTTTATTTTTATTCTACTTTCTGGGATTTCCTTTATCTAATTCCAATTATTATTTTTTAATTGCTGCTATCGTATTTGTAACTTATAGGGGCTCTTTTTGTTTGTAAAACTACTTTTGAATAATTTCCTCTTCTTGTGTAAAGAATATGATAGCTTCTCTTATCTCTCTGAGGATATTAGTTCTAGTCCTACGTCTTCCTTCAGTTGTCTCCTTGCATTGCTTATTGAATCGTTTCTATTTCTTCCTAATTTATTTATTTTTCTGTTTATTGTTTTGCTCTATTGTTTAGCCTTTCTTTCCCCAAATGTCCTGTGATTGGTAGTCTTGTATTGAATTTAAGAGGAAGCCACTAAAGAACTGATTGGACACCTTGTATGTAAATGAGAGAGAGAGAGTGAGGGTATAGTCTTCAGGTAGGCTATATTATGGGTTGATTTGGCTGGGATGTTTCCTTAAGAAACCTTACAATAATCATATTCTAAAGTTTTGTTTTTTTTTGTTTTTTTTTTGTGAGATGGAGTCTTGCTCTGTCGCCCAGGCTGGAGTGCAGTGGCGCGATCTTGGCTCACTGCAAGCTCCGCCTTTTGTTTTTTTGTTTATTCTTATTATTTTAACTTTTATTTTATGTTTGGGGGTACATGTGAAGGTTTGTTACACAGGCAAACACATGTCATGGGGGTTTGTTATACATATTATTTCATCACCCAGGTATTAAGCCCAGTCCCCAACAGTTATCTTTTCTGGTCTGTTTGTTTTAATCTTGGCCTGGTCTATTTTTAAAGCATGAGATCCTCCCATCATCTGCCCAGGAGAAGTATAGCATTCTGCTAATGTTTTCATGGAAGCACAACATGGAGCGTAGATAAAAGTATTATTGTTCAATATGCAAAGTTTCACTTAATCTTCTCATGTGACTATCTACCCCTCATCTGTTCCTGTTGTCACATTTGAAGTTTTTCTAGTGAATTTTCTCCATGTACTAGTCTCTGCCTTGATGAAGCAGGAGAGGGGAGGAGTAGAGAAGAATAATGTGGCTACATAGGGCAATGAAAGGTGCCTGGTGGCATCTAGTTACTTCTTATACATAATGTCAACCATTTCTCCTATTTTCAAGTATACATATGCAACATCTTCTGGAGGTTCCTAGAACCCCTGAATTCTGAGCCTTTTAGGAGTGTTTTATAGCATAAATTAGCCTGCTTCTGACTTTGTCCCTTTAATATTGTTAAAATGTCCATACTATCCAAAGCAATCTACAAATTCAGTGCAATTCTTATCAAAATTTCAATGGTATTTTTCACAGAAATTAAAAAATAATTCTAAGATTTGTATGAAACCAAAAAGACCCCTAAGAGTCAAAGCAATCTTGAGGAAGAAGAACAAAGCTAGAGACCTCATATTCCTTGATTTCAAACTATGCCATAAAGCTACAATAATCAAAACAGTGTGGTACTGGCATTAAAAACCAATGCATAGGCGAATGGAATAGAATATAGAGACCAAATCTAAATCCCTGCATATATAGTCAACTAATCTTTGAGAAGAGCACCAATAATAGACACTCTAGAGGTATGAAAGACTCCTCAATAAATGATGTTGGGAAAAACTGGGTATCCATATTCAAAAGAATGAAATTGGACCTTTGTCTTAAACCATATGCAAAAATTAACTCAAAGTGGATTAAAGACTTAAGTGTAAGACCTGAAATCATAAAAATCCTAGAAGAAAATATTTCCTAGGGGAAATGGTCGACACAAAGTATAAGAAGTAAACATAAAGAAAAAGCCCCTTGATATTAGTCTTGGAAATGATTTTTTGGATATGATACCAAAAGAACAGGCAACAAAAACAAAAGTAAATAAATGGGACTACATCAAACTAAAAAGCTTCTGCACAGCAAAGGAGACAATCAACAAAATGGAAAGGCAACGTATGAAATGGGAGGAAACATTTGCAAACCATATTATCTGATAAGCTATTAATATCCAAAATATGTAGGGAATTTACACAACTCAGTAGCAGAAAACAATAACCTAATTAAAAAATGAGCAAGGGACCTGAATAGACCTTTCTCAAAAGAAGACATATACCAGGCCAACAGGTATATGAAAAGGTGCTCAACGTCACTAATCGTTAGGTAAATGCAAATCAAAACCACACTGAGATATCACCTCACACCTGTTAGGAGGGCTATTCTCAAAAAGACAGAGATAACAGGTGTTGGTGAGGGTGTGGAAAAAAGGGAACCCTGTACACTGTTGGTGGACATGTAAAATTGGTACAGTCATTATGGAAAACTATATGGAGTTTAATGAAAAAATTAAAAATAGAACTACCATATGATCCAGCAATCACACTTCTGAGTGAATACCCAAAGGAAATGAAATCAATATTTCAAATAGGTATCTGTTCCGCCATGTTTATTGCAGCATTATGCACAATAGCCAAGATATAGAAAAAACATGTGTCCATTGATGGATAAATACATAAAGGAAATGTGTCACACACATACACACACACACATTCTGAAATATCATTGACCATAAAAAGGAAATCCTGCCATTTGTGACAATGTTGATGAACCTGGGGGACATTATGCTAAGGGCAATAAACCAGACACATAAAGGCAAGTACTGTATGACCTCACTTATACATGGAATCTAAAAAAGTCAAGGTCATAGAATCAAGAGTAGTACAGTAGTTAACAGTGGATGGAGATTGGGGAAAATGGAGAAATACTGGTCAAAAATTACAGACTTGAAGTTATAAGATGAACAAGTTCAGGGAATCCAGTGTGCAGGAGGGGTGATGATGGATGTGTCCATTAATTCGATTGTGGTAATCATTACATAATACATACCTGTCAAATCATCACATTGTACACCTTGAATATGTAAATATTTGTCAATTAAATTTATTTCAAAACCTTGAGAAAAACAGAAACACAAGTTATTCTCAAACAAACAAATTCCATTTGCTGGAATTTTAGTAAGTTCTGGGAGTGGCAGTAATGTCTGTTCAATCTACCATATTCAATTATAATGTCTGTCTTGATTTTTATTTACCAAATTAGGGCATTAAAACACTTATGGCAAAGGATATTAGAAAACATGAGTGCTGAGAGATAGGTATAAAACAATGGTCAAAGTCTTCAATTTAGCCTTTCTTAGGCCATGGCAGATCATATAGATGAAAAATACAACTATAAATGTATTATGGTAGCCAGTCTTCAAGATGGCTTCTGGTATCCATGCTCTTGTGTAATCCTTTTTCACATTTTATCAGGGTTGTTCTGCATGATCAATAGCATGTGGAAAGGTGACTGTGTAACTTCTGAGGCAAGATATTGCTGTTCCACCTTGTTCTCTTGGGTCATTCACTCTGGGGCATACCAGCCACCATGTCCTAAGGAGAGTCAATTGATCCCTTGGAGAGGCCCCTGCGGAGAGGGCCTGAGGACTATTACTAACTTATTAGTCATGTGAGTGAGCAACCATGGAAGCAGGTCTACCAGCTTAAGCATAACCTTTAGATGATTGTAGTCTCATGAAAGATTTTGAGCCTAAACTTCCCAGTTAAGCCAACCCCACAATCCTGACCCATTGAAACCATAAAGGATGATAAAGCTTTAAGATTGTTTTAAGCTACTATCTTTTGGCATAATTTTTTAATGCCAACACCTATGAAACCAGCCTCATCACCCCTGTTCAGAGACATCAGCAAACAGCTGCCAATTGTTCCCCTCTCAGAGTCCAGTCTCACATCTGAATTTAGACCTGTACCAATCAAGCACCTTATTCTCAGAGATCTGAGTTTCAGTTCTGTAAGGCTCCTCCTCCAAATTTAAATTTTAAGAACAATGCCAACCTCTTTTCTTTGCTTGCATAGCTCCTTTCTGAAAGTTGTTATATCCATGATACCTTAGATCCCTTAGTGTTTACTCTGTGCCTTTCAATTAACTAGTTAACAATTTTTAAATGAACTTCTCTGGAGGAGCTCCAGCATCCACTCTAGCCATTTACCCAAGAGGGATGAAAGCATGTATTCACACAAAGGTACACTCAAATGTTCATAGCAGCCTTGAATTCCTTCATTCATTAGGAATCCAAAATGTAAACAACTTACAGGTCTATTATCATGTAAATGAGGAAATAAATTGTGGTACATCCATACGATGGAAAAGTATTCAGGTATAATGGAAAGAAATACAAATATACACAATATTATTGACGATTTCCAAAAAGTCAGTAAAATAAACTGGGTGCAGAAGTCTTAGATTATCTTAGTCAATTTACATGATAGTTTGGGAAAGACGAAACTGTAGTGATGGAAAGCAAATCAGTGTTTGCCAGAAACCTGAGGCAAGGATGGGAGACTGGCTGAAGAGGGGCATGAGGGGACTTTTGGAAAGAATGGAAATATCCTGTACTGGTAATGAATACATTAATTCACTTAAAAAACTAATAGAATTATTACTTAAAGTTTGGTAAATTTGGCTGAGTGTGGTGGCTCATGCCTGTAATCCCAACACTTTGGGAGGCTGAGGCAGGTGGATCACTTGAGGCCAGGAGTTCAAGACCAGCTTGGCCAACATGGCGAAATCCCTTCACCACTAAAAACACAAAAATTAGCCAGGCGTGGTTTTGTGCACCTGTAATCCCAGCTACTTGGGAGGCTGAGATAGTAGAATTGCTTGAACCCAGGAGGTGGAGGTTGCAGTGAGCTGAGATCACGTCACTGCACTCAAGCCTGGGACACAGAGTGAGATCTTGTCTCAAAAAAAAAGAAAAAAAATTGGCGAATTCTATTTTATGTAAGTTATACCTCAATAAATAGATTATACCTATGGAAATTTAATTTAAAAATACCATTTACAATAATTTTTAAAGTGTGAACTACTCAGGGATAAATCTGATAAAAGATGTATATGAAACCTACAAAACTGCTAAGAGAAATTAAAGATTTAAATGCATGGATTGAAAGACTCAATATTTTTAAAAATGTTAATTTTCCTCAAATTTAATACAATTCCAATCAAAAACTCCAATAGGGTTTTTAAAATAGAAATTGACAAGCTGATTCTAAAATTCATATGGAAATGCAAAAGCTTTAGAATAGCCAAAATAACTTTGAAAAGGAACAAATTTGTAATACCTACACTACCTTACTTTAAGACTTATAAAGCTACAGAAATCAAGACAATGTGATGTCACCATAAAGACAAACAAATCAACAAAACAAAGAGTCTGGGAATAGAACTACATAGATATGGTCAATTGATTATTAATACAAAGGCAATTTATTTAAGAAAGAATAGTCTTTTAAAAAATGTGTGGTGGAATATTTAGATATCCATATGCAAAAGAGTGGACATTGATCCACATCTCGAAATAGATCACAGACCTAAGTGCAAAACCTAAAACTGTAAAACTTCTAAAAGAAAACAGGAGAAAGTTTGAGTGATCTTGGGTTAGGCAAAGATTTCTTAGAATACCACAAACACAACCCATAAAAGAATTTGATAAATCAGACCTTATCAAAATTAAGAACTTCTGCTCTTACTGTTAGAGAATAAAAAATACAAGAAACAGTCTGGAGAAAATATTCACAAATCACTTAGGTGATAAAGTAGTGGAAGAAGACTTCATGTGTTTTTCCTAGCTACAAGGAAATGTCTAATTTTTCACCATTTATTAAGGGGGTTGCTATTTGTTCTTTATAAGAACTCTATTATGTTTAACAAATTTACTTATATTCTAATTTTATTTAGCAATTGTATCAAGAACAAATGATAAATTTTATCAAAATTATTATTTTTAAATCATGTGTTGATAAAGCACTTTTAAGTTGATCTCTCCCCATATGTACTCGTTATTTATCCTACTGGCTCTATCATTACAATAGGATTAGCAGGGTGTAGGGTTGGGGAGGAGAGTCTCATAAGTTATCTGTCTTTTTTATGTTTCATAAACAACCTAACTCTTTACCAAAATAAACTGTTTAAGTCTGCAAGTTTTCTGTTGATGGAGGGCAGAGGCCATGAGAATGAGTTCTTTTGTTTGCTGCAGATCTTGATGAAAATTGTTTTTGCTACCCCTCCCCAAAGGTAAAAGATCTTGGGCAATTGAAATTGCTCAATAATGTGTTTTCCATCACAGGAAGAAATGGGCAGAATTCTGCATCCCTTGATGAATGGAAGGACCCTTAGGAGTCATACCGAATAACATGCCTGGAACAGAAAGTGATATTTGAACCAACTTTCCTTCCTTCCTTCCCTCCTTCCTTCCTTCCTTCCTTCCTTCCTTCCTTCCTTCCTTCCTTCCTTCCTTCCTTCCTTCTGGACTGGCTCTCCCTCTGTCACCCAGGCTGAAGTGCAGTGGTGCAATCTTGGTTCACTGCAACCTCCGTCTCCCAGGTTCAAGCGGTCCTCCCACTTCAGCCTCCTGAGTAGCTGGGACAACAGGCATGCACCACCATGCCCAACTAGTTTTTGTAGTTTTGGTAGAGACGAGGTTTCGCCATGTTGCCCAGTCTGGTCTCGAACTTCTGAGCTCAAGTGGTCCCCCACCTCAGCCTCCCGAAGTGCTAGGATTTCAAATCTTCCATATCCTTCTCATCCATCAACAGAAAGTGGGACTGTGTTCATTCCCATATCAGAAAGTACACATGTTGTGGGAAAAGGAAACTCAATCATTTTTGAGCAGGCATTTCATGAAAATGTTTTCTCTCCAAATATTTTCTCTAACTGAAGAATCATCAAGTCACATCATCAGAGAGGGACACATACTACCTATAATCTCCCATCATTTCTGCAAATTAAGGACACCACATCATTGACAATTACCTTGACGATGACAGATTTCATAAAACACAGCAATTCTCCATAAGGAGACTCTAGCAGTGCTTCACCTGAGGGAAAAAAATTGTTTTCAGCCTTCACCTCAACCCATGGTCAAGCAGACTTAAACCCCTTTTAGGACCATGTGTCTTTGTTCAAAAGACTAAAAGCATAGTACGGAGTATTTTTTCCTGTTACAGTACTGTGTAACAAGCAACCCCCCGCCCCGCCCCACAATCTCAGTAGTTTAAAACAATAAACAGTTCTTTATCATGACTTTTAAACTGTGGTCCAGCTGATTATGGGCTAGACTCAGCTGGGCTGAGATGGATTTCAGCTTCTGTTTGGGTTCAGGTCTGCTCTATGAATTTTCATCTGGCAACCTGAATTATGGTCTTCACCTGGCAAAGATGTGAAGAGCCAAGAGGGTTGGTGGAAACTCTATACTTCTTAAAACTTTAACCAGAAAAAAAGGTACTGTTGTGTTTGTTTATATTCCATCGGTCAATGTACATCATAAGGCCAAACCCATAATAAATGGAGGTGGAGAGCTATACTTATCTCACAGTAAATCATGACAAAGTTGTGGAAGAAGAAAAAAAAATTATGAATAAACATTGCACTCTACCACTCCAAAGTTCACACAAGAGATGATTTTTTTGACAAACAGAAGTAGTAAAAAAAAGAAAGAAAAAAAGAGAGACAATCTACAATTCTGCATTAAAGAAAGGATGTTTATAAATAAGCAGAATGGGAAAACAATGTAAGTAAAGCGAAATATACAAAATTTTGCATAACATGCTAAAAAATTAGAAGACAAAATTAGCTGAAGTAGAAGATTCACATTTGTAAAATGTGTAAGAACTTTGAAAAATGTATGAACCACATCGTCAAAGACCTTGCATACCTGGTTATACAAAGTACGAGTAAACATTAAATTGTATTAAATTACATAGGCAATAGAGATCCATGAAAGATTTTTCAAAAAGAGAATAGCATATGCAAAGCAATATTTAAGAAGGTTAACCTTGAATTGGACCACATGACATATCAGGCAGCAAAGATATTGGAGGTAGGGAATGTAGTTGAGAGCCAGTTGGGGATGAGAACTTAAAGCAGGTGTTTAGAGAATGGAAAGAAAATAATATTTCAAAGAAAATATCAGTAAGATCTTACACAAAATATGTCTTTTTTAGTGCAGATAACAAAAACCAGGTTTGAACTGAGGGATTTCGTTGTAAGGACTTGGGGATATCTTGTAGACTTCAAGGTGAGGGCTAAAGCTAGATTGCAGAAACAACTGGGACCAAGTTTAGAACTCCATCAGATGTTTTCTCCATTTAAAATTTCTGCTCCTCTCTCTCTCTCTGTTGGCTAATTTTTACTTTTTCTCTCTCTTCAGTCAGGCTTTTTCAACTTATCCCACCCATATGGTAGAAAACCTGGTCACTGATGGCTCCCAAATTTAAGTCTAGGCTCCCAGAAAGGGAGTGATCTAAGTTGCCATTCCTCAGGGATGAACCATCATTGGGACTATAGCTTGGGTCAGATTTCCACCTCTAAGCCAATGAATAGTGGCCAGGGGGCAGATCTTAGATAAATATGGCAGATTCTGTAGCAACAATGTGGGTAGAGACAGAAGGGCAAGTAAAAAGGGATGATAGATAGCCTAAGCAGGTTCTTCATGCTTGATGACTATCTTTATAGAGAGTAAAGAACAGCATAATAAAAAATGACTTTGAAGTTTGATTCTGGGAGAATATCTGTGGCACTGAGAAAAATACGGGCTTGCAGAGTTGCTGGGCTTCTGGAGAAAGATTGTAATCTTGCTTGTGGATATGTCAATATTGAGATGTCATGGAATGTCCAGACAGCACTGTTCATCAGACAGTGGGAGATGTGGGACTAACACTGAAACAGAGTCTTGTAGGCATGGTGTTTGTACATACATGCTCAGAGTTGCAAGATTAAACTGAAAATTGGTTCAGCATGCAGGGGAAGCAGAGCCAAAGGTCAGGTATTGAAATTTGATGTGGCCACAGGTAGGAGGCTGAAGGAGGACATGGAGTCGAGGAAGAAATGTCACAAAATATGAGAATAAAGCCTAGAGTGTATGGTCTCTCCAAAAACAAAGAAGAAAACATTGGGTGGTGAGGCCAAGAAAACCTAACACTGTGTAAAAATTCAGGAGAATGAAGGCTGAGATTTAGCAGTTTAAGTAACCTTAGCAGTTTAGGTAAAGCAACATCAAAGTGTTGTTTCAGTTAGGATCCTCACAAGCAGCAAGTCATAGAAAACTCTAACCTAGCTGACTGTTTTAATAAGGATATTTATTGTCTCAGATAACAAGAAGTCCAAGGGAAGGGGAGCCACAGGCTACGAGCTGCATCTGCTCAATGACATCATCTAAGTCCCAGGTTTTTTCCATTAATCGTGAAGCTAATCACAAGATGCCTGCTGTAGCAACAAGCATCTCACTTGACTGTGATAATGCCAGGAGAAGAAAATAGAGTGTACTTTTTTAAAAAAGAGAAAACAGAAAGTGATGTCAAAAGGTGCCGTAATAGAAAGTCCTAGTCCTTGTCCCCCAACAGAAACATAAATTTATTAATAAGTAACAAAATACCTTCATGGAAGTCCAGAATCCAGTTAAGCAGTTGCAATACCCCAGATGAACACAAAATTGGAATCAGCTGCACCAAAACAAATATGAAGAGCAATTTTATTTTACCTATGTCAGCCTTTCCCCCAAGGCAATGCAACTAAGCATTTAGAGAGATTGCAACTCCTCTCTGGAAAGAAGGAAAGAGGGGGGGCAAATGTCAATCTCTCTTGACTTTCAGTGCACTCTCTAAGGAGCTAGCTTCTGTTTCACCTCAATGGAGTGTTGAAAGTACTGGTATAACCTGTGTGCCTGGGGAAGCTACTAGACAGGCTCTTTCCTGCAGCCAGCATTGTTCTGGGGATCAAGGAGAAGGCGTAGAACTGAGGCCTCTCCTCTAGGACAGAGGGAGAAATCAGAAGTATGGCTCTAATGTCTCTGGTCCTGTAGTATGCTCCCTAAGAGGCTGGTTTCAGCCCCTAGAGCACTGAAGAAACTGGCATAGTCTAGATTCCCAAGGCACCTGTGGCTGGCATGACTCTGTAAGGCTAGAAAAGAGTGTATGACTGAAGGTTTATGCCAAGGGAAAAAGGGAAGAGTGGAACATGCTCCCAGTGTACCCAGCCTTTCAGTGCATTGCCCAAGGGGCTAGCTTCCATCTCACCACACACAAAGCATTGATGGAACTAACATAGTCAGATACCAGAAGGAGCGAGAGATTATGGGCTTCTGGAAAAAAAGGCTGGATGCCTAAGGCAACTAGGAACAAAGGCCTAGAATCTCTCTAGCCAAGCTAACTGGTGAAGGTCTTTCCTACTCAAAGCCGGTTTCTAAAAAGTGGGAGAGAGAGCCGTTTCTCCAAATACACAGACAGAAGTGCAAAGCTACAAGAAACATGAAGAATCAGAAAAACACCACACAATCAAAAGGATGAACTAAATTTCTATTAATTGAACCTAAAAAAGTGGTGATCTGTGAATTGCCTGACAAAGAGTTCAAAATAATTGTCTTTAAAAAGTTCAGTGAGTTAGAAGAGAACACAGATATATAACTAAATGAAACAGGAGAACATTACACAAACAAAATGAGAATATTAACAAAGAGATAAAAATAATAAAGAAGAACCAAACAGAAATTCTGGGACTGAAGAATATAATAACTGAACTAAAAAAAATCAGTAGAGAGGTTCAACAGTAGATTTAATTAAGCGGAAAAAAATCAATGAACTTGAGGGCAAGTAATTTGAGATTCTTCAGTCAGAGGAGCAAAAAGAAAAAAAAAAGAATAAAAAAGAGTGTAGAAATCATAAGGGAATTATGGGATACCATCACAGGAGCTAATATATGCATTTCAAGAGTTCCAGAAGGAGAAGAGAGAGAAAAAGGGACAGAAATCTTATTTAAAGAAATAATGCATGAAAACCACCCAAATTTGGGGCAGGAAAATGGACATCTAATTTCAATTCATAAATCCTAATGTGTCCCAAATAATATGAACCTAAAGAATTCTACAAAGAGATAAAGATATGGAATCAATCTAAATGACCATCAATAGATGAATGGATAAAGAGAATGTGGTATATATACACATTGTTATTCAGCCATATAAAAGAACACAATCATGTCATTTGCAGAAACATGAATGGAACTGCAGGTCATTATGTTAAGTGAAATAAGCCAGGCACAGAAAGACAGATGTCACATGTTCTTGCTCATATGTGGGAACTAAAAAACAACTGATCTCATAAAGATAGAGAACAGAATGACAGATATCAGAGGCTGGAAAGAGTGTGTGGATAGGAGGAGGGAATAAAAAAGAGGTTGCTTAGTGAGATAAATGTACAGTTAGATAGAAAAAATAAGCCCCAATATTTGAGAGCTGAGTAGGGCGATTATAGTTAGCAACAAGTTTTTATATATTTCAAAGTAGCTAAAAGAGAGGACTTTACATGTTACCAACACATGGAAATGATAAATACTCAAGGTGATGGATACCCCAAATACCCTGACCTGATCATTGCAGTCTATGCATGTAACAAATACTCACGTGTACCTCATAAGTATGTAAAATATTTTGTATCAATAATAAGTAAGTAAATAAAAAAGAAGTAAAATTATCTGCATATGACATTATCTCATATGTAGAAAATCTCAATGACTCCACAAAAACCTGTTAGAACTAATAAACAAATACAGTAAAGTTATACAATCAATGTACAAAAATCATTTGCATTTTATACATTAACAACAAACTATCTGAAAAGGAAATTAAGAAAAAATTTCATTTATAAGAGCATCAAAATGATACAATACTTAAAAATAAACTTAACCAAAGAGGTAAAAGACTTGTACACTAAAATATGTAAATTGTTCATAAAAAAAGTTAAAGAAGACACAAATAAATGCAGAGATATTCCATGCTGATGGATTGAACAAGTTAATATTGTTAAAATGTCTATACTACTCAAAATAATCTACAGATTCAATATAATCCCTATCAAGATTCCAATGAATTTTTTTTACAGAAATAAAGAAAAGAATCCTTAAATTCATGTGAAATCACAAGACACTGAATAGCCAAAGCAAATTGAAAAAGAAGAACAAAGCTGGGGGCATTATACCTCCTGATTTCAAACTCTATTATAAAGCTATTGTAATCAAAACAGTATGGCATTGACATAAAAACAAACATATAAATCAACAGAATAGAATAGATAGCCCAGAAGTAAACCCATATACATACAGTTAGCTGATCTTGGACAAGGGTGCCAAGAATACATAATGGGGAAAAGATAGTCTCTTCAATAAATGGTGTTGGAAAAGCTGAATATCCACATGCAAAAGAATGAAATTGAACCTTTATCTTACACCATACACAAATATCAAAGATGTAAATGTAAAACCTGGAACTGTAAAACTACTAGAAGAAAACATAGATGTATACTTCATGACATTGGGCTTAGCAATTATTCTTGGATATGACACAGAGTACAGAAAACAAAAACAAAATTAGATAAGTGAGACTATATCAAACTAAAACACATCTGCACAGCAAAGAAAACAGTCAACAGATTGAAAAGGCAACCTACAGAATAGGAGAAAGTATTTGCAAACCATATATTTCACAAGAGATTAATATCTTAAACAAAACCCAAAACAAGGAACTCCTATGATTCCACAGCAAAAATAAAACTTAAAAAACAAACAACAAAAAAAACAATGAAAATCAAAACTAAAGTAAACAAAACTAATAATCTGATTGGGCAAGGGACCAAGAAATGAAGACATTTCTTCAGAAAAGAAATACAAATGGCAACAAGTACACGAAATGATGCTCAGCCTCATTAATCATCCAGGGAAATGAAATTAAAACCACAGTGAGACGTCGCTGCATACCTGTTAGAATAGCTGTTATCAAATAAACAAAAGATAAGTGTTGGTGAGGATGTGGTGAAATTGAAACTGTTGTACACAGTTGATGGGAATGTAAAATGGCACAGCCACCGTGGAAAACAGTATGGCAGTTTCTCAAAAAATTAAAAACAAAACACCATATGATCTGGCAATTCCACTTCTGGGTATACATCCAAAAGAGTGAACATTAGGATCTCAAAGATATATATGCACTCCTATGTTTGTTGAGGCATTATTCGCAATAGTCAAGATCTGGAAACATCCTAAATGTCTATCAATAATGAATGGATAAAGAAAATGAGGTATATACATACAATGAAATATTATTCAGCTCTAAAAGAAAGGGAAATCCTGCAATATGTGACAACATAGATGAACCTAAAGGACATTATGCTAAATGAAATACATCAATCACAGAGGGACAAATACTGTATAATTCTATTTTATGAAGTATCTAAAATAGTAAAACACATAGAAATGGAGAATAGAATGGTGGTTGCCAGGGGCTTGTGAGGAGGAGAAAATGGGGTATAAAGTTTCAGTTATGCAAGATGAGTAAGTTCTGGAGATCTGCTGTACAACATTATGCCTATAGTTACTGATACTGTATTGTGCACTTAAAAATTTAAGAAGGTGGAGCTCATATCAAGTGTTCTTACCACAGGGTGTATAAATAAAAAGAAAAAATGTTTGGATCTTCCTTTGTGTATAATTGGCTAGAAGAATTTCACATGCCCACTGGCAAGAATAGGACTAACATAAACTACTTGGTTTAAACTGAGTTGGCAATATGGTCAATTTCCCTAAGTACAATGCCACACAGAGCGTAGATACTTGAACAAAACTCAAACACTGCTAGTGAAGAAGAATGGCATACTGAATTGTGAGTAGGAAGCCAATATTGTTTGCTACTATTTCTTATTAGGAAATTGACAAAGAGGGTGTGGAGTTTAAGAGATTGATTGGTACAGAAAAGTTTGAAATAGATGTGGTAAATTCAGTAAAATCAGAATAGAACAAATAAGAAGCTTGTGAAATGGCAATGAAGGCCTACTGACGTTAGATAGCATTGCTCAGAAGACCTAATCAGCAAATTCTTGAGATATTGAATAATATTCAAGACATTTGGTTGTAGGAATCATGGTCATTGACATTTCTAATACTAGTAAGGAGAAAATCAGATGCAAGAGAGCTTTTCTTTTCTTTCTTTCTTTCCTTTTTTTTTTTTTTTGAGATGGAGTCTCCCTTTACTAAGTGTCCATAAAACTATATCTTGTTTGTTCAGTTAGGAGGGCTTAGATAAAACTCTCATTTGTCTTGATTCATGAAAATAACTTATTATCTTCTGGATTAGAAAATTTCTGAAAACCCCAACCACAATGTAGCAAGAATATTTTTTATGTATGTATGTATGTATTTATTTATTTATACATACTATGGTAAGAATGCTTGACATGAGCTCTACCATCTTAAATTTTAAAAAGTCAAATAAATTGTCTTATTATGGAACCACATGTGGACATGACGAATAAATGTTTTCTAATGTGTGGTTTTCCTCTGAAGAGATGTTGTCAGTACAACCCTTGGGTTCCTCACTGTGTGGTCTCTGTATAAGCAAAATCAGTTGTCACTGTCTTTACACAAACCCCATTGATTTGGTGAAGTGGGTGGTGGTCAAGAGTACCCGCCCAGCAGAGGATTCTGCTCTTCAGTCAGGAGTAAAAGAGTGTTTCAATTAAGAAGGAAATAGAAAAATTTCTTGAAACAAATGATAATGGAAACACAACATACCAAAACCTAAGAGATACAGCAAAAGCAGTACTAAGAGGGAAGTTTATAGCTAGTTTACAGATATAGGCTATAAGCATCTACATCAAAAAAGAAAAACTTCAAATAAATAACTTCATGATGCATCTCAAAAACTAGAAAAGCAAGAGCAAACCAAACCCCAAATTAGTAGAAGAAATAATAAAGGTCAGAGTGGAAATAAATAAAATCAAAATGAAGAAACAATACAAAAGATTAATGAAATGAAAAGTTGGTTTCTTGAAAAGATAAATGAAATTGACAAAGTTTTAGCCAGGCTAAGAAAAAAAGAGAGAAGACCAAAATAAATAAAATCAGAAATGAATAAAGAAGACATTACAACTGATACCACCGAAATTCAAAGGATCATTAGTGGCTACTCTGAGCAACAATATGCCAATAAATTGGAAAATCTAGAAGAAATAAATAAATTCCTAGACACATACATTCTACCAAGGTTGAACCATGAAGAAATCCAGTACCTGAACAGACAAGTAAGTAATGAGATCAAAGCTGTAATAAAAAATATCTCAGTGAAGAAAAGCCCAGGACCTGATGGTTTCACTGCTGAATTCTACCAGACATTTAAAGAAGAACTAATACCAGTCCTACTCAAACTATTCAGAAAAAATAGAGGAAAAGGAAGTACTTCCAAAATCATTCAACAAGGCCAGTATTATCCTGATACCAAAACCAGAAAAAGACACACCAAAAAAAAGGGAAACTATAGGGCAATATCCTTGATAAATATTGATGCAAAAATCCTCAAAAAATACTA
This sequence comes from Homo sapiens, assembly GCF_000001405.40. Classification (NCBI taxonomy): domain Eukaryota; kingdom Metazoa; phylum Chordata; class Mammalia; order Primates; family Hominidae; genus Homo; species Homo sapiens. The sequence goes on from NC_000003.12 coordinate 130,335,691, forward strand.
CCAAACTGATTCAACAACACGTTAAAAAGATCATTCATCATGAACAAGTAGGATTTATCACAGGAATGTATAAAAAGGAACATATCTCAACATAATAAAAGCTATATATGACAGTCCCACAGCTAGTATCATACTGAATGAGAAAAAAACTGAAAGCATTTCCTTTAAGATCTGGAACATGACAAGGATGTCCACTTTCACCACTGTTATTCAACATAGTACTAAAAGTCCTAGCTAGAGCAATCAGACATAAAGGACATCCAAATTGGATAGGACAAAGTCAAATTATCTTTGTTTGCAGATGATATGATCTTATATTTGGAAAAACCTAAAGACTCCACCACAAAGCTATTAGAAGTGATCAACAAATTCAGTAAAGTTGCAGAATACAAAATCAACAAACAAAATTGGTAGAATTTCTACATGCCAACAGCAAACAATTGGAAAAAGAAATCAAGAAAATAATCCCATTTACAATAGCTACAAATAAACCCCTAGGAATTAACTTAATCAAAGTAATGAAAGATCTATGCAGTGAAAACTGTTAAACATTAATGAAAGAAATTGAAGAGGACACCAAAAAAATGGAAAAATACTCCATGCTGTGGATTGGAAGGATCGATATTGTTAAATGCCCATACTACCCAGAGCAATCTATAGATTCAATGCAATGCTTATCAAAATACAAAAGACATTCTGTACAGTAATAGAGAAAACAATCCAGACACTCATATGGAACCACAAAAGACCCAAAATAGCCAAAGCTATCCTGAGAAAAAACTACAAAACTGGAGGAATAACATTACCTTACTTCAAATTATACTATAGAGTTATAGTAACAAAAACAGCATGGTACTGGCATTATAAACAGACACATAGACCAATGGAACAGAATAGAAAACCCAGAAACAAATTCATCTATTTGTAGTAAACTCATTTTTGACAAAAGTGCCAAGAACATACATTGGGGAAAAGACAATCTCTTTAATCAAGTGTGCTGGGAAAACTGAATATCCATATGCAAAAGAATGAAACTAGACCCCTATCTCTCATCATATACAAAAATCAAATCAAAATGGAGTAAAGACTTAAATCTAAGACTTCAAACTATAAAAATACTAAAAGAAAACATTGCGGACACACTGCAGGACATTGGCCTGGGCAAAGGTTTCTTGAGTAATACCCCACAAGCACAGGCAACCAAAGCAAAAATGGACAAATGGGATCACATCAAGTGAAAAAGCTTCTGCACAGCAAAGGAAACAATCAACAAAGTGAAGAGACAACCTACAGAATGGGAGGTTGTCTCAAAAAACTAAAAATGGGCTACTATACAATCCAGCAATCCCACTGCTTAGTATAAACCCAAAGAAAAGGAAATCAGTATATTGAAATGATATCTGCACTCCCACGTTTTTGTGCAGCACTATTCACCATAGCCAAGATTTGGAAGCAACCTAAATGTCCATCAACAGACAAATGGATAAAGAAAATATGGTACATACACACAATGGAATACTAGTCAGCCATAAAAAAGAATGAGATCCTGTCATTTGCAACAACATGGATGGAACTGGAAATAAACCAGGCACAGAAAAACAAACTTTGTGTGAGCAAAAAATTAAAACAATTGAACTCATGGAGATAGAGAGTAGAAAGATGATTACCAGATTATCAGAAGCTGGGAAGGGTAGTGGGGGTGGAGGAAGTGGGGATGGTTAATTGGTGCAAAAAATAGAAACAATGAAAAAGAACTAGTATTGATAGCACAACAAGGTGATTATAGTCACTAATAATTATTTCCGCCTATTTTAATTTAATTTAATTTAATTTTTGAGATGGAGTCTAGCTCTGTCGCCCAGCCTGGAGTGCAGTGGTGCGATTTCAGTTCACTGCAACCTCTGCCTCCCAGGTTCAAGTGATTCTTCTGCCTCAGCCTCCCAAGTAGCTGGGATTACAGTCGTGCACCACCACACCTGGCTAATTTTTGTATTTTTAGTAGCAACAGGGTTTCACCATGTTGGCCAGGCTGGTCTCAGAATTCCTGACCTCAGATGATCCCCCCGCCTTTGGCCTCCCAAAGTGCTGGGATTACAGGAGTGAGCCACCACTCCAGGCTTATATACGTATATATATTTTTTTTCTACAACTTTTAAAGTTCCAGGGTACATGTGCAGAATGTGCAGGTTTGTTAAATAGGTAAATGCGTGCCATGGTGGTTTGCTGCACAGATCAACCCATCACCTAGGTATTAAACCCAGTATCCATTAGCTATTCTTCCTGATGCTCTCCTTCCCACTCCCCACCTCACGCCCAATAGGCCCCAGTGTGTGTTATTCCCCTCCATGTGTCCATCTGTTATCATTCAGGTCCCACTTATAAGTGAGAACATGCGGTGTTTGGTTTTCCGCTCCTGTGTTAGTTTGCTGAGGATAACAGCTTCCAGCTCCATCCATGTCCCTGCAAAGGACATGATCTCATTCTTTTTTGTGACTGTATAGTATTCCATGATGTATATGTACCACATTTTCTTTATCCAGTCTATCATCGATGGGCATTTCAGTTGATTCCATGTCTTTACTATTGTGAATAATGCTTCAGTGAACATACGCATGCGTGTATCTTTACAACACAATGATTTATATTCCCAGTAATGGGATTGCTGGGTCAAATGGTATTTCTGCTTCTAGATCTTTGAGGAATCACCACACTGCCTTCTGCAGTGGTTGAACTAATTTACATTCCCACCAACAGTGTAAAAGTGTTTCTTTTTCTCTGCAGCCTCACCAGCATCTGTTGCTTCTTGACTTTTTAATAATTGCTATTCTGACTGGCATGAGATGGTATCTTATTGTGGTTTTGATGTTCATTTCTCTAATGATCAGTAACATTGAGCTTGTTTTCATATGTTTGCTGCCCACATGAATGTCTTCTTTTGAGAAGTGTCTGTTCATGTCCTTTGCCCACTTTTTAATGGAGTTTTTTTTGTAAATTTGTTTAAATTCCTTGTAGACTCTGGATATTAGACCTTTGTCAGATGGATAAATGGCACAAATTTTCTTGCATTGTGTAAGTTGTCTGTTCATTCTGATGATAGTTTTTGTTTTGTTTTTGCTGTGCAGAAGCTCTTTAGTTTAATTAGATCCCAACTGTCAATATTTGCTTTTGTTGCACTTACTTTTGGTGTCTTCATAAAAACTTTGCCTCACCTATGTCCTGAATGATATTGCCTAGATTTTCTTCCAGGGTTTTTTATAGTTTTATGTGTTACATTTAAGTCTTTAATCCATCTTTAGTTAATTTTTATATAAGGTGCAAGGAAAGGGTCCAGTTTCAATTTTCTGCATATAGCTAGCCAGTTCTCTCAGCACCATTTATTGAATAGGGAGTCCTTTCCTCATTGCTTTTTTTTTTTTGTCAGGTTTATTGAAGATCAGATAGTTGTAGGTGTGTGGTCTTATTTCTGGGTTCTCTATTCTCTTCTGGTCTATGTGTCTGTTCTTGTACAAGTACCATGCTGTTTTGGTTACTGTAGCCTTGTAGTATAGTTTGAAATTGGGTAGCATGATGCATCCAGCTTTGTTCTTTCTGCTTAGAATTGTCTTGGCTATTCAGGCTTTTTTGTTTGTTTGTTTCATATGAAGTTTTAAATAGTTTCTTCTAATTCTGTAAAGAATGTCAACAGTAGTTTAATGGGAATAGCACTGAATCAATAAATTGCTTTGGGCAGGATGACCATTTCATGATATTGATTCTTCCTATCCATGAGCATGGAATGTTTTTCCATTTGTTTGTGTCATCTCTGATTTCTTTGAGCATTAGTTTGTAGTTGTCCTTGAAGAGGTCCTTCACTTCCCTTATTAGGTGTATTCCTAGGTATTTTATTCTCTTTGTAGCAATTGTAGCTGTTATCCTCAGCAAACTAACACATTCACAATTTTGCTCTCTGCTTGCCTGTTGTTGGTGTATAGGAATGGTGGCAATTTTTGTACATTGAGTTTGTATCCTGAGACTTTGTTGAAATTGCTCATCAGCTTAAGAAGCTTTTGGGCTGAGATGATGTTTTCTTGATATAGGATCATGTCATCTAAAAACCAAGATAATTTGATGTCTTCTCTTCCTATTCGAATACCCCTTTTTTCTTTCTCTTGCCTGATTGCTCTGGCCAGAACTTCCAATACTATGTTGAATAGGAGTGGTGGGAGAGGGCATACTTGTCTTGTGCCGGTTTTCAAGGGGAAAGCTTCTAGCTTTTGCCCATTTAGTATGATATTGGCTGTGTGTTTGTCATATATAGCTCTTATTATTTTGAGATATGTTCCTTCAATACGTAGTTTATTGAGAGTTTTTAACATGAAGCGATTTTGAATTTTATCAAAGGCCTTTTCTGCATCTATTGAGATAATCATGTGTTTTTTGTCTTTAGTTCTGTTTATGTAGTCATTAATAATTTAGTTGTACATTTAAAAATACCTAAGAGGGTAATTGGATTGCTTGTAACACAAAAGAAAGATGCTCGAGATGATGGATACCCCATTTATCCTGATGCAATTATTACATATTGCATGCCTATACCAAAATATCTTATGTTTCCCATAAATATATACACCTACTATGTACCCACAAATTTAAAAAAATTTTTTAAGAGTTTTAGAATTGTCCCTCTGGGCTGTTGAAAATATAATTGAATTAAAAGGACTTCAACTGCTCCTTGGAAGTGTAAAATCTGAACCATGACATTGATTGTTAAAACTTTCTTCATTTTTATAAATTCTCACCCAAGTTTCTGGGTGATAGTCACAGAAATTTCATTTGTTTTATATTTTCTACACATTTGAATTTGAGAAGCATTTGGAATCTTTTTATAAAATCTTTTCTAACAAGGACAACAACAACAAAAAACTCTTAACCATCCACTAAAGACATCTTTCAGACTTACGTGATGGCCAAAACACTAACACTCATTGACTTACCCACATTTCCTTTTCTAATTGTTTCTTGTCTTGCTTTTCCTTTTAGGGGATGAAGGCAGCACAGTACAGAAATTTCAGGTGTATACAGCTGGAATAATTACAGTGAGCATCAAGTCATAACATCTTGCCAATGTATCTTTTAGTAATTGGATGTATACAGTAGAATTAACATTGAGGATTTGAAATTTCTTGTTATTTAATATCCTTCAGGGACATGTTTACAGAATTTCATGCTTACGCTTGACAGATGTTTGGTGATTCAGGAAGGAATAATGAAAAATTCAGATATGTAAACAAAGATCTTAGTTACTCAATAAATTAGACAGGAAATGTTTCCCAAGAGTACCAAGTAAAATCAGCAGAAAAGGACCCAAAGCATTTGGCATTTCTTTTTTCTTTTGAGATGGAATCTTACTCTGTCACCCAGTGTAGAGTGCAGTGGTGCAATCTCAACTCACTGCAAACTCTGCCTCCTGGGTTCAAGCAATTCTCCTGCCTCAGCCTCCTGAGTAGCTGGGACTACAGGCGTGTGCCACCATGCCTGGCTAATTTTTTGTATTTTTAGTAGAGACGGGGTTTCACCATGTTAGCCAGGATGGCCTTGATCTCCTGACCTCATGATCCACCCGCCTCAGCCTCCCAAAATGCTGGGATTACAGGCGTGAGCCACCACTCCCAGCTTGGCATTTCTTTTACATCTTTTACTTGCTTGTATATAAATCGCTAGGTCTATATTGGTTTCTCTGGATTCTTGACATCCAAGCCAGTGTTTATTTGTTAGACAGCAATAATAATAAACACTCAGGATATTTTCAAAGGTAGAAGTAGCAGTTACAGGATTCACATAATGGAAGTGATTTCAGTGGAAAGACCTACTCATAACAAGGGCAAAATGAATGGGCATTGTGGTTTGTTAATGAGGGTTTTGCACATTTGAGTATGTGAATCATTTCTTTGAACTAGAGTTGCTCAACTCTTCCTGCTCAAATGAATCAATGCTGAAGCCTAAAAATATACAAATTTCTGACACCATTCCCCAGAGATTCTGAATTAATTGGCCTTAGGTTGGGCCTATATATATGCCTTTTAAAAAAAACTCTCTATTGACTTTGAGACACAATCCAGTTGGGAAAATGTAATCTGAAGCCTGACCTCACCAAAACCTAATAAAACAAAAGCCAGAAAACAGGTTCAGAACCCATCAGGTTATGGCGGCTCCTTTAAGATTTAACTTGTACCAGTAAATTAGCCTTAACTATTTCTTACATTATTAATTTTAATATCCCGACAGCATTGGTTTAAGGCATTGCATGTTTTTTGAAATTTGAGCTACTCCTACAAGCCCTCCTTGGTGACTTGATGTACTGAGAACTTGTCCACTTGCTTAGCAGTGGTTGTTGAACCTTGTATGTGGTGTGTACTTAAGTATGTGACTTCATTCATTGAGCGGGACATGAGATATTCTGAAGTTTCCTGTGGTTAGCTCTTTATTTCAAATGGAAATGGATAATATTACTGTTTACTTTTCCTATTATGGTGCTCTTTTATTTTTAAGTTACTTCAAGACGGTTCTGAGATACAAAAATGAGTAAGATATGGTTTCACTAATACAACCACGATTAACTAGGTGAATAGCAATTATATTTTATTGAATGAAACACAGCTTAATTAGGTTAGGCCAAGGAGGGCTATTTCCTCACCAATGAGCACACCTTGAGGGAAGGACAAAGTATTAAAGATAACTAGAATTTGAGATTCTAACACCCCCTGAAGCTCTCCATCTCTCTTCTCCACATGTCAACTCTAATCCTTAGATAGACTTTTTTCACAGTGACTGGAATGTGGTTTCCATCAACCTTCAGGGTCACATTTATCTTCTGAGGAATGGAAACCCAGTTTTTTTGAACCTGGGATCCTAGGGCTGACTGGTCAAACTTGGGTCAAGGGCCATCCCCAAAGAACTGTGGCTAGGGAGATGGGACCCTGGCAAAACAGCATTTGTCTTTGGATTGTAGAGATAGAATAAATGTTTCCTAGGAGGGGGAAGGGAATGTAATTTCAGGAATTCAAAAAAAAAAGCAGATGGATATCCAGTACAGACATTGCTTTCTGGTTCCAATTGCTGTTGGAGGTGGAGGGTTTCTCCTCATGAGACTTGGCTCCCCAGTCTTGCAGAGTTGAACTTAGGACTTTTTCAGACCCACCTCTCATGTCACCCTCTCATTAAGGCTTTATTGACTCTACGACCCCCAACCATCCACACACTGTTGGCTTCACCTTCCACTGTGATACTGTAACATGAAGTAATAAGCCATGATTACAGTGTGCTGCCAACTGTTGTGTTTTCCAGAAGACTATCAGAAAAACCTGTTGATCCAACTTACTGCAGTAAAGGTAAACACAACATTGACAGTCTTAGTAGTGTCTCAGAAAGGAACCCAGGGAGGATATTTATAGGGTTTAGGTCCTAGACTGGGTGAATTTCAGGTGGGTTTTGCAAGACGGAAAACTCTTTGGGTTTGGCAGAGTTCGTGACATGATAGCTTTAAATTGTTGGACACGGGGAGATGAAGGAGTTGAAACAAGTCTTCTAGAGCAAGCTGGTTGATATAGATAAGTAAGCCACTTTGATTAGTCACAGCCTTGTCCATTAGGAGCAAGTATTTCTTAAAGCAAGTAGCTAAGTCATTTTTGCTTATTTTCGGCATGGCTTAAACATAGAGAAAGTAAAGTATACTATATTCCAATATTATTTAGTACACAGAGAGGAAAGTATTTGGCTTCAGTTATCGATAATGCATTTTAATTGTTAACTTTTTATCTGTTGGTATATAGGCATGACCAAAGGACATTGAGTCACATGTAAGAAAAATGCTATTTTATCTTTTAATAGTTCTGATTGCATCAATGAGAAAGTTAATCATATTCCATTTAAATCATCTCACATCCAAAATCATCTTGCCTATTTCTGATAGTACGGTTTTCACATTTGCAGACATACCATCAATATTTCCCAGTGGGAATCAACGAGTGCAGGGTAGAGCAGAATTTGCTATCTTTTACTCTGATGTTATCTTCTTATTTAAAACAGCTGCAGAAATACAGATTATGAAGGTTGGGTTAATAAAAGGCAAATATAACTAATGATGAAGCCTGAAAAAAAATTTAATGTCTTTTCCACACTTTTGAAATTCTGGATTACTTTTCTTTTATTCAATATCTTTTTATTTTCTAGAGAAAATGGAAAGTGAAACCCAAGTCAGATAAAGTAAGTTCAATTGTGTTCTATTCTGTTAGAAAATTGAAAAGTTGGCACTTTTAGTGCCTGAATTCCTTCAGATATTAAACTCCAAACTTCTACTTTCTGAAGTAAATTAAGTTAATATATCCTTAATAGAATAAATGCAATTCTAAATAGTGAATAAATTTCACATTATGATTTATTTTGGGAAAACCTTGTTTCAATTTTATAAGCAGAAGAAAGGAAAGGAAATGTTAAAATCTGTGGAAAAGTTGTAGATTCCTGGAGCCACTTTTATTTCATGATTGTGAAAGTTAAATCACAAATATATTGCAAGTAAAAAAATTTCTACAATAATACTTTCTAGAGAAGTTTCTAAACAACAAAAGAACCCCCAAAACACAAACCCACAACTTCCTTTTGGCTTCAGTACTATTTGGATATTACCCTAATTGTGAAGGCAAAACCCCACCCTTCTCCTGAAGTATAAAGTAGGCCTTCTTTCTCCCTTGGGGCATTACTCTTGGTTGGGGAAGAACATCTCAATTAATAAATCTTTACACACTGAGGGTATGTGGACATCATAGTAGCAAAATTTCGGCCTGGGCCAGGCATGAATGTGAAATAGATGTATATTTTGTCCCCCCAGACTCTAGCTTCTTGATATTCCAGCCCATAGATTCTCTCTGTGCTTCACTCTGGTGACCAATGGAACATTTTCCGTTAAAACCTGGACAAATCTGAGACTCACTGATACCGAAGGGCAAGTCTTGGCATTCAAATCCAGGATTTCAGGATGTTCTGTGCAGAACACCCCATAACCCTGACTATTCCAAGTGAATTCAAAATAGATAAAATACACTTTTTTTTTAGAAAAACCATTTTCAACTTACATCAGTTTTTTCTTATTAATGAAAAACAACAAAAAAAACAAACAGTTTTTGGTTTACACATATTTGTGTTCTCTTTGAAAAAAAAAAATTTAATAATAAAAGGAGAAAATCCTGAAAGTCCTCATTACACTTCCCTCTCTTCATTCTTCCAACCCACTCTTTCTAACACATATTTAGAAACTTTCTAGTTAACTTCAGAAGCAATCTCAGAATCGGGTTCTTGCTGAGCAAGGGTGAGCTCCCATGTCTTATGTTTCCTCTTGACATTTTAATAAACTTTCATCAGTGTAAGTAATTGTAACATATCTCTTCACAGACAGCCTGAAGAAGCTAGCAGGCTGAAGCAATGGATTGATTGAACTTAACCACTCAAGCTAGGAGTACATTTACTGGCAGGTGTTATACAGATATGTAATATAAAATCTCAACCTGAGTACACGTCCATGCAAACCAACAAAAAATAAGCCATGCATGTAAGAATAGTCTATGCTTTCCAAGTTCTTCACTATGATCCATGTACTAAAAATCACAACTTCATTGTGTTGCCTGCTCCATTTCCCCATCCTGCCCTTTCTAGAAGTTGCTGGATAAAACTCCTGCTGCCTCTAGCATCAGGGGTGCGTTACTTTTTCTCTTGTAGGGCTTCCCCCAGGACTTTGCTCCTCCTTGGGCATTTTCGTTGGGAGGCTGCCTCTGAGAAATTGGGGGACTTGGAGCCAAATGGCGATTCCTCTGTCTAAGTAGTAGAAGTGACCGCAGCTCGGCTGCTAGTAAAGATTGCCCTTGGTTTCTGAGAAATTCTGACTCCCTAAGTTCATTTGGCAGCCGGCGGCTTCTCTGAAACAAAGCCAGCAAACAGCTGGAGCGTCTCTGGACACTCACATTAAAACTTGTGAAGAGTTAAAAGCCCCAGGGAAGAGCCAGGCCAAGGGCACGGGTCAGCGCCGGCTTAAAAGACCCTCTCAGGGCACGAGGCGTTCGCTGCGGGAATCCACCTGCAGCTGTGCGGCGCGGACCAGGGCGTGCGGCGCGGACCAGGGCTTCCGGCGCGCGCTCTATCCAACTGCGCCGCGGGCGCCCGAGAGGCGCGCGTTTACTGCGCTCAGGAGCTCGGTGCAGCCTCTTCTGGAGAGTTGGGGGCGGTTTCCAGGGTCCGGAGTGTCCCCTGACCCCGGGAAAGCTGGGTAAGTATGCGGTGCGGGGACTTGGGGCCTGAGGCAGGCGGGGGAGGAAACCTCGAGTAGACAGGTGGATGTGAGAAGGATTCTCCTTTCTGGTGATTTGCACCTGTTGACGCCCCCAAATCTGAGCTCTAAGGAATTTTACAGATGGTTAAGACAGGTTCTGAAAGGTAGACTCAGAATTCGAAAGGACCTTAGAGCAGTGCTATCCGAAGTGTGATGCAAGGACTAATAGCATCGCCTTGCCCTTGAAACTTGTTAGAAATGCAAATTCCTGGACCCCACAAAACCCTGTTGAACCAGAATCTCTGGGAATGGGGATAAGGAATGTGTATTTTAACAATCCTCCACGGGATTCTGATGCAGCTAAAGTTTGAGAACCATTGCCTTAGAAGTCACTTAGTCCTACATTTGAGCCCCTAGCCCCAATGCAGGAACCCCCAAATAAACAGCAATGGGTGTGTAGGTAATGAGTCAAAGGCATTAGATACTGGGGTGTATTCAGTTATAAAAATAACTTCTAAACACTCTTGGTTTGTGGGAATTCTATTCTGTCCCAAACGAAACTGTGATCTTTGAGATTTCCTAAGAACAGCACTCAGAGCTTCAACAACTATTTCTGAGTTTGTACTGTGTGCAAGTCTCCAGGTAAGGTTCTTTCAAAGTGCTGGAGGGAATTTTGTACTCTCAGGATCCCCAAGCTGGTAGCGTGTTATTTCTCTTACCAGGATCTTCATAAGTTGATGTAGTGCTTCATACATCACATTTATTTTGTTTTTTGGTATTCAACTGCTTGTTCTGAAATTAATCATTGTTAACTCAGGGTGTCAGGTTAGGTATCTTGGAAGATATATATTTACTTTGTGAATTCTGAACAAAAATCCTTAAGAAAAAATTCACACTGCAAGATTTTTTTCCATTTTTTCTATTTAAGTTTACAGTGCTACAATTTACCAATAGAATAAGTAGGAATCCTGAGATTTCATATGAATTAAAGTAGAGAAGATAATTCCCAAGTTTTTAAATAACTCCTTCAGATGAGGCAGGCTCTTCATCACTGCTGAGAACCTGAGCCATTAATCTTTGATGACGAATGAATGGTTTTGTGTTGTTATTATTATTCTCCTTTCAGTGGCTTAACTTAAAATATGAAATCTAAATCCACTGCTGACTTACTTGGAGACTCTGGAGCAAATTTATTTGCAGATATTTCTCAGTTTTCCCTTTTCTTCAATGGGTGGGTGCAGGATGTAAGGTTTTGATAGGGAACCTGCTAGCATTATCTTAAAGTAGTTCCCCGGAGGACCCTGTGTGGTTATGATATTGAACTATTATTAATATGTTAAAGCATAGAAAACATTCAATACAATGATTTTATATTTAATTATTTTATATATATATATTAAGTTAAAACATCTAAAAGGCTTTTTCACAGATTTCAAAAACTAATCACCTCTCTGTTTGAAAAGAACTTTGGAAATGTCAGTAAAATTGGGAGCCATTGCTAGCAATGTTATGAGCCTGTGAAAATAAAGTTTGCCACTGTAAATATTTCCCATCTTGAATCATAGCTACATGCAGAAATTGTTCATAAGTATTCAATGAGCATATGCTTAGCATCCTTCTATAATGAAGTGTAAGGCTGACACATATGTCTTGTTTGCATTGTATTTCATGTTGTGATTTTCCTTCCTCAAGTTCAAATCATCTTCCAAAAAGGAAGAATTTTCAACCCCGGAGCATATACTCAGAATCCTCCAGCTCTGAGAGTGGAGGGCACAAATTCACTTGGAATGTGTACTTTTCTTGGTATTGCAGTTTGCTTTGATGATGCCCCTGTCAATCTTGTAGGATCTCAGATCCAGTACACACTGAGCAAGTGGAAAGTGCAAAGGAAGAGGAGTTGGGCACTGGGCAAAGTTGGGATCTAAGATAAAACGAGATGCATGCCTACTTTATGAGGAAGGGCTGACTGGTGGTGCATGTGGCAGTTGCAAACATTTTTGTTGCCCCATCAATCCCTGGTGCTTTATGATACTTCCCTAAATTCCTCTGGCCTATTCCCTAACATGCACACAACTCACTACCCACAACCATTGCCACTTGCCATTCTCCAAGGAACCATTCTTTTTTATTTTTAATTTTACTTTAAGTTCTGAGATACATGTGCTGAACATGCAGGTTTGTTACATAGGTATACATGTGCCATGGTGGTTTACTGCACCTATCAACCCATCATCTAGGTTTTAAGCCCCACATGCATTAGGCATTTGTCCTAATGCTCTCCCTTCCCTTTCCCCCAACTCCCTGACAGGCCCTGGTGTGTGATGTTCCCCTCCCTGTGTCCAGGTGTTCTCATTGTTCAACTCCCACTTATGAGTGACAACATGCGGTGTTTGGTTTTCTGTTCTTGTGTTAGTTTGCTGAGGATGATGGATTCCAGCTTTATCCATGTCCCTGCAAAGGACATAAACTCATTCTTTTTTATGGCTGCATAGTATTCCATGGTGTATATGTGCCACATTTTCTTTATCCAGTCTATCATTGATGGGCATTTGAGTTGGTTCCAAGTCTTTGCTATTTGTAAATAGTGCTTCAATAAACATGTGTGCATGTATCTTTATAGTAGAATGATTTATAATCCTTTGGATATGTACCCAGTAATGAGATCGCTGAGTCAATTGGTATTTCTGGTTCTAGATCCTTGAGGAATCGCCATACTGTCTTCCACAATGGTTGAACTAATTTATACTCCCACCAACAGTGTAAAAGTGTTCCTATTTCTCCACATCCTCTCCAGCATCTGTTGTTTCCTGACTTTTTAACAATTGCCATTCTAACTGGCGTGAGATGGTATCTCATTGTGGTTTTGATTTGCATTTCTCTAATGACCAGTGATGATGAGCTTTTTTTTATGTTTTTGGCCACATATCTTCTTTTGAGAAGTGTCTGTTCATATCCTTCACCCACTTTTTGATGGGGTTGTTTGTTTTTCTGTTGTGAATTTGTTTAAGTTCAAGGAACCATTCTTGTCCTGTATTCATGTTGCAGATTTCTAATTGCCTACCCAATATTCTAATACTCCCTATTTGAATTCTCATCCATCAAGCCACTCTTTGGGATGATACTGTGACTCAAGACTTGGTCTCTGAAAGGCCAATGTAACGTTCCACATTATTCGATTGTCCCAGGTGACACCTCAAACGTTCTCTCTCAAGATGAAATAAGTCACTTCGTTAATTAATTATTATTTTGGAAAATAATAAGAAACATGAAGAGAATGGAATAATGGAATTAGAGTTTCAGAAAGGCACCGTAGTGCAATGGAAGAACACCATCTTTGTAGAGACTGCAAGCCCTTGGGCAAGCTATGCTAACTCTTTGAGCCTTAGTTTCTTCATCTGTGGTATGGGTATAATTATAGCTAACTTATATAATTGAAGTGAGAATTAGAGATTATTATGTAAAATGCTTTGCACATAGTATGTATTAAATGTATGCTAGTAGTTATGATTATGTAATTTTGTAGCTAATCACCTAGGGCAGTCTTTTAACAATCAGAAAACACAAAAATTTAAGTAAATCATAATGTAATAATCTAGTGATACATAAAAACATTGCCTAAGAAGGGTCTTGCAGGACCTCTTTAATTCATAGATAACTAATTTATAATTTTCTTATATTTTAATCACCAATTATTTACATGTGAATATTGCTAAGTGCTTTAAATGTGTATTCTTGTGCATATGAAATATCTCTCTAGATTATATGAATTATGATTATATTCAGCTGCAAGTAATAGCAGACTCAAAAACAGTGGCTTAACCAAGTCATACGCTAATATATTCCTTATGTAAAATAAGTCCACAGGTAGGCAGTACATGGTTATTAGTAGCCCAGGCTTCTTTCTACCTTTCTATTCTACCTTCTTGGCATGGAACTCCTATCTGTAAGATTGTCTTATGGTCCCAAGATGGCAGTTGGAGCTCTAAATGTTATATCTGTATTTAGTGTAGTAAGAAGAAGGAATGGGGATAGTGCAAAGACACCTACTTTCCTGCTGGGTAATCCATCTTCCACATATATCTCATTGGCTAACCTTAGCTACAAAGAAGGTTTGGAGATGTATTTTCATAGCTGAGTACATTGCCTCATCAATCAACATAGGAGTTCTGTTAATATAGAAGGAGAGAATTGGGAGTATCAGAATGTTGGATAGGCAACTAGAATCTGCTACGTGGATGCAGGACAAGAATGGTTCTTTGCGGCACAAGACAAGGATACCCTCTCTCACCACTCCTATTCAACATAGTGTTGGAAGTTCTAGCCAGGGCAATCAGGCAAGAGAAAGAAATAAAAGGTATTCAATTAGGAAAAGAGGAAGTCAAATTGTCCCTGTTTGCAGATGAAATGATTGCATATTTAGAAAACCCCATTGTCTCAGCCCAAAATCTCCTTAAGCTGATAAGCAACTTCAGCAAAGTCTCAGGATACAAAATCAATGTGCAAAAATCACAAGCATTCCTATATGCCAATAACAGACAAACAGAGAGCCAAATCACAAGTGAACTCCCATTCACAATTTCTTCAAAGAGAATAAAATACCTAGGTATCCAACTTACAAGGGATGTGAAGGACCTCTTCAAGGAGAACTATAAACCACTGCTCAACAAAATAAAAGAGAACACAAACAAATGGAAGAACATTCCATGCTCATGGATAGGAAGAATCAATATTGTGAAAATGGCCATACTGCCCAAGGTAATTTATAGATTCTATGCCATCCCCATCAAGCTACCAATGACTTTCTTCATAGAATTGGAAAAAAAACTACTTTAAAGTTCATATGGAATCAAAAAAGCACCTGCATTGCCAAGACAATCTTAAGCAAAAAGAACTAAGCTGGAGGCATCACACTACCTGACTTCAAACTATACTACAAGGCTACAGTAACAAAAACAGCATGGTACTGGTACCAAAACAGAGATATAGACCAATGGAACAGAACAGAGTCCTCAGAAATAACACCACACATCGACAACCATCTGATCTTTGACAAACCTGACAAAAGCAAGAAATGGGGAAAGGATTCCCTATTTAATAAATGGTGCTGGGAAAACTGGCTAGCCATATGTAGAAAGCTGAAACTGGACCTGTTCCTTACACCTTATACAAAAATTAATTCAAGATGGATTAAAGATTTAAATGTTAGACCTGAAACCATAAGATCCCTAGAAGAAAACCTAGGCAATACCATTCAGGACATAGGCATGGGCAAGGACTTCTTGTCTAAAACACCAAAAGCAATGGCAACAAAAGCCAAAATAGACAAATGGGATCTAATTAAACTAAAGAGCCTCTGCACAGCAAAAGAAACTACCACCAGAGTGAACAGGCAACCTACAAAATGGGAGAGAATTTTTGCAATCTACCCATCTGATAAAGGGTTAATATCCAGAATCTACAAAGAACTTAAACAAATTTACAAGAAAAAAACCCCATCAAAAAGTGGGCAAAGTGTATGAACAGACACTTCTTAAAAGAAGACATTTATGCAGCCAACAGATATGTGAAAAGATGTTTGTCATCACTGGACATCAGATAAATGCAAATCAAAACCACAATGAGATACCATCTCACGCCAGTTAGAATGGTGATCATTAAAAAGTCAGGAAACAGCAGATGCTGGAAAGGATGTGGAGAAATAGGAACACTTTTACACTGTTGGTCAGAGTGTTTATTAGTTCAACCATTGTGGAAGACAGTATGGCAATTCCTCAAGGATCTAGAACTAGAAATACCATTTGACCCAGTGGTCTCTTTACTGGGTATATACCCAAAGGATTATAAATCATTCTACTATAAAGACACATGCACACGTATGTTTATTGTGGCACTATTCACAATAGCAAAGACTTGGAACCAACCCAAATGTCCATCAATGATAGACTGGATAAAGAAAATGTGGCACATATACACCATGGAATACTATGCAGCCATAAAAAAGGATGAGTTCATGTCCTTTGCAGGGACATGGATCAAGCTGGAATCCATCATCCTCAGCAAACTATCACAAGGACAGAAAACCAAACACCGCACGTTCTCACTCATAGGTGGGAATTGAACAATGAGAACACTTGGATACAGGGCGGGGAACATCACACACTGGGGCCTGTCAGCAGGTGTGGGGCTGGGGGAGGGATAGCATTAGGAGAAATACCTAATGTAAATGATGAGTTGATGGATACAGCAAACCACCATGGCACATGTATACCTGTGTAACAAACCTGCACATTGTGCACATGTACCCTAGAACTTAAGGTGTAAAAAAAAAAAGATTCGTTGGAAAATGGCAAGTGGCAATGTTTGTGGGTAGTAGGTAGTAGAGTGTGTGTGTTAGAGACTAACAGATGGTAGAGAGAAAGTGATAATAACAAGCTTATTGGCAACTGGATTCTTTGAGAAGTACTCTCGGTGTGAAATTAGAGTAATAATGATCTCTCTATCTAGATTTTAAAGCAGTTTACATAAATAATTATATTTCAACCCCACAGTAACCTTGAGAGTTTGTAAAATGGGTAGATGTATTTATTATCACTTCATTCATGATCAAGTTGAGGCTCAGAATGATAAACAGTTGCTCAAGGCCACATACCCAGTTAGTACAGAGCTACTGTAAACCTTAGCTCTTCTGACAACTAGTGCATCTCCTTAGTGGAGAGGGGGCAAGTTGTAGAAGAAATGAGATAATAAAGATAACCGTATATACTTAATTTTAACCATTGTGATATTATTTTCCAAAAATTATTTGGACAGAAGGAGATAACATAATCAAATTTTGCAAACAGCAGGGTGATGATTTAAGAGCCCATCTACCTTAGTTCAAATCAGCGTTTTACTACTTACTAGCTTTGTGAATTTGGGCAGGGTGCTTGATATCACTTTCTTCTGTGACATTAACTAAGAGTACTTGCCTCATATAGAAATTGTAAAGATAAAAAACAAAGTATAGAGACTGGCACATAATAAGAAACATGTAAGTGTTTGCTGTTCCAGATAGACTGTAAATAAGAGAATCAAGTGAAAATTATGAAACCTAATGTTAAGATAGCTGACTGCAAAATAAATCCAGACAAAATCAAAAGCTTTTTTATAAAGTAGCAATGACCAGTTAAAACTATAATGAGAGGAACATTTCTGTTCTCAATAGCAATAAACTACAAAATAGCCAAGGACATGAATGTGAAATATGTAGGAGCACTCCCTGTTGGACCTGTCTTTCCTCAACTTTACTCCTCCCACAAACACATATCCAAAGGCTACACAGAAAACCCAAAAGCACCAGTACGGGTCTGATGCGAAAATACTTCCACAAAGGAAAGAAGCATTTGTTACGTGCAAAACAAAGATCAAGAATTGTTTCAGTCAACAAAACTCCAAACTTGAGGCATTAGACAACACAGTTCTGTAAATCAAGAGCTGAAAGAAATGCAAGAGAGAATGAGAAGCAAAGCCAAGAAAGTCCAGAAGGAAAATAAAACTGTTACAAAACTAAAACCTAAATTAGAAGCAGCTAGATATATGTAAATCTTGTGAAAAATAGAGTTTTGATTTAGAGGATGGCTTTGGGAAAAAAATCACATAGAATGCAGACTACAAAGAAAAGAGAGAGAAGTGGTAAGAAAGTATAATAATAATGAAAAACAGACAACAGAAAAACAGCAAAGGGCTAAGTAAAATTTCTGAAAAAAAAAGAACAAAAGGAACTGAAAATAAATATAAAACATTTATTTCTTTGATCTCAAACTGTTAGTAATTTCAAGATGCACCGCCAATTTAAAAATTAATTTTGGAGGAATAGAAGAAAACCATAAAATATTAAATGAATATGTCACTTATATTTATAGTTGAAAAAGATTAAAATGTGAAAAAGACGCATCTTTTAATTAAAGAAATGTGGAATTAGATGAAAGCCTTCCCAAAGTAAAAGAACATCTGAATTCACAGATCAAAAGTCTCACCATGTTCTGGATAAGGGAAGAAAAGAAAGAGAGAAGTAGAGAAAGCAAGAAAAGCAAGCAAACAAGAAAGAAAAGAAAAGAACAAAAAAAGAAAAGAAGAAAGAGAAAGAAAGGGGAAGGAAGGAAGGAAAGAAGGAAGGAAGGAAGATTAGCATGATGATATTTAAGGATAAAGGATAAAATATCCAAGCAGGAAAGAAAAAATAAATTACACTAGCTGTATAAATTGTCTCAGCAACATCAGATTCCAGAAGAGAATGAAAGTGGGTTCCAATTAATATAAGAACCTTAGCGGGAAAAGGAAATGAATGGGACCCAAGATTTCTATAGCCACATTCTATATGTGGCTTGTGTTATATTTCTATTAAACAGCAGTGATTTAGATTGCTCTAGACAGCAAGTTGAAAAAATGTCAGATACATCATTGGGTATGCAAAACCCCACTACGTAGAACCCAATCCCTTCTTACTCAAAGTGTTTTCCGAGAACCAACATTCTCTAGGGGCTTATTAAAAATGCAGAACTCAGGGCTCACTCCAAAGCTGCTGAATCAGAGTCTACATTTTAATAAGATGCCCAGTTAATTCATACGCACGTTAAAGCTTGAGAAACACTTTCTTAATTAACCACTTCCTAAAAGAGTCACTTCCTAGAAGTACTACTTGAAGAGTCATCTAGCCCAGAGCTTCACAGCTGGTGTGCTTTGTAAGAACTATGATAGGCTGAGACATTGATCTCTTTAGCCTGGGACTCTGGGATGGAAGGCCATGGGCTAAGGACCTGAATAATATTGTAATTTCCTGCGTGTTCCATGATTTATAGCTGTGCTATCCAGTATGGTAGCCACTCACTGTATTGGCTACTGGCCATTTGAAATGTAGCTAGACTGAGTTGAGATGTGCCATAGAAGTAAAATACACAGCAGATTTTGAGGACTTAGTATTAATAAAGTAAAATATCTCATTAATAATTTTTATATTGGTTATACATAGAAATTGTAATACTTTAGATATATTGGGTTAAGTAAAATATATTATTTAATTAATTTCACCTTTTTTTTACTTTTGTTAATGTGCTACCAAAAAAATTAAAATTACATACACAGTTTGCATTGTGTTTCTATCCAATAGTGCTGATGTGGGTTGCTTTGTATGGCAAAAAGAAGAATCAAAATTAAAAACCTATAATAGATACAAACTGGGAGTGCACATTCTATTTAAATTTTAAAATAAACTTGAAATAACTGTGGTATTATAATCACAAAGCAAGAATTACACTTCTTGAAAGAAAAGCTATGATATAAAAATCCCTAAAATTTAAAAGATAATTTCATGATAATAGATTGAGAGATTCCTCTTGCCCCTATAAAACACAAACAAAAAATTAAAGAAGAGAAAGGAAAAGTAAGCAGACTAATTTTATCTTTCATAGGTGGAAGTTATCAATATTATTTTATTTCTAAAGTTGATGAATTTGGAAATAAAAGTTAAAACATTTTATTTACAAATTATTTTACCAGTTTACCCTAAGTGAAAATTAGAGAGAGATATATACACCTCTCAAATACTTAGGGTAAACTAGTAAAATTTTACACACACACACACACTTAGGGTAAACTAGTAAAATAAAAAATATATATACCCACACACATAAAGTTAATGATTAATGAAAGGGAAATAGAAAATGAATGGAAACGTGATAAGGCAAAATAAATTAAACAAAACAAATAGTAGTGGAAAGTAAAGAATTATGTATTTAAAAGAGATGACAGACGTAAGCCCAAACATATATTTTGTAATATAAAATAGAAAGAGTTTAAGTCCTTACTTTAAAAAAAAAGGAATCACAGATCTGATCAAAAAGCTGAATCCAGCCACACACTATCTACAATAGATACAACCAAAACAAAAGAGATTTGATAAGTTGCTTATAAAAGACATACTACCCAAGAGGAAGCAGGGTTTATGATGTTATATCAGAAAATGTTGAGGTCAATAAAAACTATATTAAATTGAGGTGTAGTGCATACTTTTTTCTGCCCTCCTCTTCCTTTTTTTGCATCTTCTTTTTTTCAACCAAGATTTATGAAGTTTTAACTATTGACCAGGTACCGACAGAAATTGAGGATACAACAGTGGGCCAAAGCAGACAGTGATGGCGCAAGCGATAATCAAAAGTCAGATAATCATGGTAAACAAGTTATGAATATGTTCCACATTGAAGAGATAACTGTCATAAACCTTATGAAATAACTAGCATGGTGTAGAAATGCATAAAGCAGAAACTGCAGGAAATAAGAGAATTGATGAAAATATAGTTGTAGGGGAAATGTTGAGACACTCATATTAGTCCTTGAGAGTTAAGATAGGCAAAAATAAATAAAGATGAACTAATAGACTAATAATGAACTCTATCATCAGGAGCAAATATTGTTTCTTTTCTAGCATTTATTAAGCATTTCAAAAACTGAGCGTTATATTAGGTCAGTACAAAAGTAATTGCGGTTTTGCCATTAAAAGTAAAAGTAATAGCAAAAACCTCAATTACTTTTGCACCGACCTAATATATACTAGGTTATATATAGGGGAAACTTTGACATATTCCAGAAAAGAGTACAGACTACATTCTCTAACCACAATGCATTAAAACCAAAAGTAACTAATAAAAGAGCTACATTCACACTGAAAAATAAAACAACTCCAATAAAACAACCAAATCAAAATGGAAAATCTCTTGATTTTCAATTGAAGAAATTGAAAATGCAGTCACTTGAAAAATTTCAAACCATAATTGAGGAATATCTGGCCTGTAGTAATGATGAGCAGGCTTGCATGTCAAAGCTGATGCTGTACTCAGGAAAATGCGTTGCCTCAAAAAGCTCTTATTACCACATAGGAAAGAATAGAAATGGATTAATCATTCAATTCAACAAGTTAGGGGTAAAGCAAAACAAACCTATGTAAAATAGAATGAAGTAAAAATAAACACAGAAAATTGAGAATTAAGACAAAGAATACCAAAAGAATTGATTAGTAAATGAAAAATGTCTTTTGGGAAAAACTCACAGTAAACAGTATAATTTACTAGTTACCATAATCCAGACAAAAAGGAAGAATGAAAACAAATGTATTCTCTATGAATGAGAAATTAGACATAACCCTAGAGAGTAGAAAAAAAGGGGGAATAATTTATTTGACTTTACAATAAACAATTTGAAACCAGGATGAAATGGAAAATGATAGGAGGGCACATGAATGATAACTGCAAAATCTAACTAAAGAAGCAACAGAAAATCTAAGTGGCTGGTAACCTGGAAGGAACTGAGAATTGCTGAAAGCTGACACTTTTGGCCTTGTCGGTATATGGGTAATTCCTTTCAAAACTCCCAATAACTGGCAATTGCTCTGTCACTTAAAATGTTTAGAACAAAGAGAAAGAAGAAAAGCTTCCAGATCATTTTTATGAATCCAACATGATTGATACCTGGCAAAGATAGCTCACACACACAAAAATAATAGGCATTCTCACCTTTGAACAATAATGCAAAATTCCCGAATCAAATATTAGCAAGTAAAATTCAACAGCACATAAAAGGAAATGTAGGATAATGAAGTGGAATTTATTTTAGAAAAGCAAAAGTCATTCAATATTAATAACTCTATTCACGAATATTTTGTAAATAAAGTTCAATATATGGTTATATTTGAAAAGAAAAAGCATATGTGATCATTGTAGTAGATGCTGAAAAGGTATTCGGCAAGGTAAAATTTAGCAGCCATTCTTGATTTTCTTAAATCTTAGGTTAAAATAAGAAGAAATATTTTAACATAATTAGAAATATATATTATAAACCAACTGCCATCATAACATGTGTAATGAAGAAAACACTTAAAATATTACTATTAACTGGCCGAGCATGGTGGCTCATGCCTGTAATCCCAGCACTTTCGGAGCCTGAGGCGGGCGGATCACGAGGTCAGGTGATCGAGACCATCCTGGCTAACATGGTGAAACCCCGTCTCTACTAAAAATACAAAAAATTAGCCGGGCGTGGTGGCGGGCGCCTGTAGTCCCAGCTACTCGGGAGGCTGAGGCAGGAGAATGGCGTGAACCTGGGAGGCGGAGCTTGCAGTGAGCCGAGATTGCACCACTGCACTCCAGCCTGGGTGACAGAGCAAGACTCCGTCTCAAAAAAAAAAATAAATAAATAAAAAATTACCATTAAGTTAGGAACATTATCAACACCACTCTTTAACCACTTTGTTGAAGTTCTGGTCAATGTAATAATAAAAGGTATATACATTGAGAAAGGAGAAGGCAAAATTATTGTTATTTTTATTTAAAATGAGAATATACTGGAAAAGTCTAAGCAAGCCAACAAGAAAGTTCAGCAAAGTGGTCAATATAAATAATTTAGTAACATGAGTAAGAGAAAAGATTCAATTTACAATAGCAACAAATATAAAACATCTAGGACTGTGTATATTCATAATATATCAAGAGCACATAAAAATAAATGCAAAGACAAGCACTCACAGGCAAAATGGTCAAAAATCTTAAGTGTACAGTTCATAGAAAAATACCTTTCCCAATCTCACTAGTAATTATAGAAATGCAAATTCAAAGAGCCATGTGGTAATGTGGAATTTTTTCCCCCCAATCAGGATTCCAAAACTTCAAAAGTATGTTGTGAGAGTGTGGGGAAATAAGGACTTCCATATGTTCCTGAGGGAAAATATGATTTGGCATACCTTTTTGCTGCAGTTGTCTAATATTGGCCATAATTTTAGATATACATTCGTTTTGACCCCAAATTTCCATTCCTAGTAAGTGATCCTTTAGAAATATAATACTTCTTCCACTGTGCAATGTTGTTTATTGCAACATTGTTTGGAATTGTGAAAAAGTTGGAAACAATCTAAATATCTATTTATAAAGAATTGATTAAATAAACATTGATATAAAGAAGTACTATGCAGCTGTTAAGATGAATGAAGTAGATACAAGAGTGATATTAAAAATAGTCAACAATGAGTAGGCATTGACTAATCAGAATGGATGTTGATTTCAACTAGTGTGGTCAATCCAGTCTGTGACAATTTTTAAGGACTTTCAAATGGTTAAATACATATAGAAATAGATTGACAGTTAATATGATTATTAATACAGTATGAATGAGGTAGGTACATTTAGGAAGAATATTTGAGCCATCAATTGTTTTTAAAATTTAAGAAACAATGCCAGGCAGAATAATAGAGATTATATAACAATACTAAACATGTATAATTGTTTTGTGCAGGTTTAACAACTTGCTACCTAATAAAGTTTTGTTGGAGCACAGCCATGCAGGGCCAATTTATCCATTAGGCACAGTTTTTTAGAAGCCTATGAAATGTTTAATTTAAAAAAAATTAGAAGAAAAATGAATATTTAGGTCAAAAATTGTTTATTTTTTTCTCACACAAGGAAAAAAATGTAATTTTTAGGACTCATAAGTCTATTAAATTTTGCCTAAAACAGAAATAAATTAAATTTTAAAGTACTTAAAGTTATATCAAAAATAATTTTTAATTTATTTTATTATGGTAAGAGAATCCTATAAAGCAAAAGTGTATAGGACCTACAGCAAAAATAATTTTTTAATTCATTTTATTATGAGAGGATCCCATAAGGCAAAAGTGTGTAGGACCCGCAGAAGTCATAGGTGGTTCTGCAGTCATGCTTGTTTGTTTACATATTTTCTGTGGCTGCTTTTGGAAGGGCAAAATTGAGTAGTATATTTTTCCTAGAGACGGTCTGGCCTACAAAGCCTGAAATATTTACTTACTTTTTCTTTACAGAAAAGTTTAGCTTAGTATATTAGCACTCATGATATTACAGAAAGTTATCTTTATGAAGTGGATTTTATTTTTAGTTATTTACTTCCACCTAGACCATTAATTTTCAAGAAAAATTCTACTTTTGAATTGTTCACAATTCATGACCGTTTGTTATGGGGGAATGACAACTACATCAGCTCAAAATTTTAAGACAAGGAAAATTACCAAATAACCAATATTTATATTAAATCATTTTCATACCAAACACCAGAAAGAATATAAAGAGAATGAAGAAAAAAAGGAAGTTTTATGGGAAAAATCCCCAATAGATCTCCAAATTACATGCTCTTCCTAGACATCAACTGCAAACGAGCATCTGCTTAGTGTGGCATAAATGTAATGCAGTGGCTTCAAGAACAATCCAGCAGGTACCAGTGCTGAGAATATTGTTCCTGTACTCTAATGCCAATTTTTAATAATTTTGCTATTAAAGTTTTAATAAAATGATAATAATTTACACATTTGGGGTAAAACTTCTGATTTATTCTTGGATTCTTCAAATTCATATTATGAGGGGGATATTTAAGCTTAGGCCGGTTTTGATCATATACTGATTTTAAGATGCAGGCAGCATTCGACTAATGTAGATTATGATTCATTTATGCAGAGGGAAACCTTCTGGAAGAATACATCCAAACCAGTAGGAGTTTTATTACGTCTCTAGGGAATGGGAATATGTATCATTTGTGGTGAAAGCAGTCCATGCAGCCACGAAGGTGAAGATTGTTACTGACATTGATTAACATTGCTTGCTCATTGGGGATAATAAAGCAGGCCAAGTTTGTTCTGTTATTATTTTTAAAGGCTCTGTGCACACCTTTATTGCTAGTCCAGACTACTACCATAGCCCTTTGTTTGTTATACCATTCTTATGATAAAATCATTCATCATCCAAACTGTGCACTTAACAAAGTCAACCCTTTTGAGATATAATTTATATATAATATAATGCATCAATTTTAAGTGTACTATTGGAACTGTTTGGCAAATGCATATTTCCATGTAACCATAATCAGTATAGAGAGCATTTCCATAATCCCAAAAAGTCTCTCGTGCCCAAACTGATGTTCTATTTAAGTTCACAGCAAAATTGAGCAACAAGTACAAAGTTCCTATATGCCCCCCTACCCTAAACACATGAGGCCTCCCCTGCTATCAATATCCTGCACCAACATGGTACATTTATTACAATCGATGAACCTACACTGACACATCATTATCATCCAAAGTCCAAAGTTTATGTTAGGGTTCACTCTTGGGAATGTACATTTGGTGAATTTTGGCAAATGTATAATGACATGTATCCATTATGATAGGATCAGACAGAATAGTTTTTAAAAATCGTCTGTGCTCCACCTGTTCATCCCTCCATACCTCCTAACCACTGACAGCCACAAATCTTTTTACTGTCTTTGTAGTTTTACCCTTTCCAGAATGTCATACAGTTGTAAAAATACAGTATATAGCCTTTTCAGATTGGCTTCTTTCATTTATTAATATGCATTTAAGGTTCATGTCTCTTAATGGCTTGATAGTATATTTCATTTTAGTCCTAAATAATCTATTGGCCTGAATATACCATAGTTCATCTGTTCACCAGCTAAAAGGCATATTGTTTGCTTCCAAGTTTTGGCAATTATCAATAAGGCTGAACATCCACGTGTAGTTTTTTGTATGGATGTAAGTTTTCAACTCATTTGGGTAAATACCAGGAAGCGTGATTGCTGGATTGTATGGGATGAATATGTTTAGTTTTGTAAGAAACTATTGAATTGTCTTCCAAAGTGGCTGTGCCATTTTGCATTAATCCCTGTCAGCAGTAAATGAGAGTTCCTATTGTTTCACATTCTTGCCAGCATTTGGTGTTGTCAGTGTTTTGGATTTTCACCATACTAATGGGTGTGTAGTAGCATCTTACTCTTTTAATTTGCAATTCCGTAATGACATATGATGTTAACCATTTTTTCATATGCTTGTTAGCCATCTGCATGTCTTCTTCGATGAGAAGTCTGTTCAGATATTTTGTTTTCTTATTGTTGAGTTTTCAGAGTTCTTTGTATATTTTGGGTAATAGTCCTTTATTGGATATGTCTTTTGCAAACCTTCCCCTGCCTACCAATCTGTGGCTTGTTTTCTCATTTTGTTGACAGTGCCCTTCATAAAGCATGACATTTTAATGTTAATGAAGTACAGTTCATTAATTATTTTTTTTCATGGATCTTGTCTTTGGTGTTGTATTTCATAAGTCGTTGCCAAACCCAATGTCATCTAGATTTTCTCCTATGTTATATTCTAGGAGCTTATGGTTTTGCATTTTGCATTTAGGTCTGTGACCCATTTTGAGATAATTTTTGGGAAGGGTGTAAGGTTTCTTTCTCTCTCTCTCTCTCTCTTTGTCTCTGTCTTTCTCCATATATATATATATATATATATATATATATATATATATTTTTTTTTTTTTTTTTTTTTGCATGTGGATGTCTGGTTGTTTCAGCACTGTTTGTTGAAAAAACTGTCTTTGCTCCATTGTATAGCATTTGCTGCTTTGTCAAAGACCAGTTGACTGTATTTGTGCAGGTCTATTTCTGGGCTCTCCAGACTGTTCCATTGATTTGTCTATTCTTTCACCAGTACTACACTGTCTTGATTACTGTAGCTTTACAGAAGGTCTTGAAGTCAGGAAGTGTCAGTCCTCCAACTTTGTTCTTCTCCTTTAAAATTGTATTGTTTATTCTGAGTCTTTTGCCTCTTCATATAAACTTTAGAATCAGTTTGTCAATATCAAAATAACTTGCTGACATTGATTGGGATTGTGTTAAATCTACAGATCAATTTGGGAAGAACTGACATCTTGACAGTACTGAGTCTTTCTATCCATGAACATGGAATATCTCTAATGCCCCTCTTTATCTCTGATAACTTCCCTGGCTCTGAAGTTTTCTCTGTCTGAAATTAATATGGTTACTCCTGCTTTCTTTTAATTAGCATTAGCATGGTATATCTTTCTCTATCCAATTTCTTTTAATCTACATTTATCTATATTTAAACAGGTTCCTTGAAGAGAACATATATTCAATGTGTTTTAATTTCTGACAATCTCTTTTAGTTGTGCATTTAAACCATTATAGTGATTATTGATACAGATGCATTAATATCTACCATATTTGTTACTATATTCTATTTGTTGCCTTTGTTTTTTGTTCCAATTTTGTCTTCTACTCTTTTCTGTTTTTTTGTGGTTTTAGTTGAGCATTTTAGGATTCAATTCTCTCTCCTTACTTAGCATATCAGTTATACTTCATTCTTTAGTGGTTGCTCTAGAGTTTGCATTTATAACTAATCCAAGTATACTTTCAAATATCACTATACTGCTTCACAGGTAGTGCAAATAACTTATAATAACAAAATAATTCAAATTCACCCTTACTCATCCTGTAAATAGGACTTTAATGATGTAGTGGCAGATTTAGTGGTAAGGTATGGAGTGAGAAGAAGCATTCTATAGTTCTCTGATTAGGTTTCAGTCCTTTAGTGAGCCTGTGTTCCCGAGCTATGAACTTTACAAATGCCTCTCATCCTCTCTTCCACCACTCTTGGGAGGGACAGGATGGTGTAATGGGGACTAGAGTTGGGTATTTCCTTTCGTCTAGGCCAGCTAGATTCTGATAAAACCCCAGCAGGTTGAGTTCTGGTGAAATAGTTTCTCTTGAGAACATGCCTTGTTAAGAAGAACAGTGTGCTGTGGTGTATTTAAAAATGGTTTCCATTCCCCTCACCCTGCTGAATAATGAGAAATTTTTTCTTTTATCTTTACTGTGAGAGTTTGATAGAGCTCCCTGAGGTAAAACTTAACGAAAGTGTGGGTGCCACTTTAACACTTGCTTTTCTGGAATTTTTAACTATTAGACTTGTCCACATTGCACCTTCAGCCATTTGTCAATTACACTTCAAGTTTTCCTACCCCAGCACTGGTTCCTGCAAAGGTTTCAGCTCATGAGTTTCTGCTCCAATAAATTGTACTTGTGATTTTCTGTATCCTCCTGTCTGTCTCTTCAATTTTGGGGCAGTGGTTTTCCCTGTGACAAAGAAAAATTGTTAATTTTCAGTTTGCTTAGTTTTTCACTTGTTTTTAGGATGGAGTGACAACTTACTTCCAAGCTACCACACAGCAAACTAGAAACCATAGTCCCAGGGCAATTTTAAGAGATAACTAAGGTGCTATTAATCGTTGCACTGGGACCACAGTCATAAACTGGCACTGTCCTGGGAAGCCACATATTATATTTGTGATTTTTTTCTCAAATTTTTATGTTTGCTTTACTTCAGAAAAATAATTTCTAATTTAAGAATGAACCAAAAATATCCTCGACCCCACATCTTAGAAATAAATGCATATGACATTTTAAAAAATTGGGATCATACTCTGCATATCCATTTCTGCATTTCCCCCTAACCTACTATATCCTTTAAGGTTAGCAGGCATTTACTTGCTTTGCATTGTATTAGGACAACCCCAAAGTAGAAGAAAACATGGTACCTTCTCTCAAAAGTTTCAGTGGAGATAGCACTACCAAACATATACACACAAATAAACAGTACAGCTAAATAGAGTATACATCTTAGCTATTAAAAAATGGTGATGGTGATGTAGACTGAGTGTTTGGGGCAGATGGAAATATGGAGGATTAGACAGAGGCTGCAGTAGTCAGAGAGCAGGCGGGTCTAGTTCTGAAGTATAATTAGGATTTGAGTTTGCACTTAAGAAAAGCGCAAAGTCCTTCAGCCTTGAAGCAGAGGGAAAAACGATGTGGATACTATGATGCCTGGTCAGGTGCAAAGGGACTAGGAATTCGAGATCTCTCCAGTGAGTCTTGTTCTGCAAAGTTGCAGCAGGAAAGAACCATCAATAGAGGCCCTAATATTGGATATCCCAGCAGGTCTGGTATCCAGGCATTTTCAAAGGTTGTCAATTGAATTCTGGTCAGGATTCTTTTTGCTCATGTATTAGTAAAACCCAACCCAAACTAGCTCAAACACAAAATAGAATTTATTGACTGAGACACCTGAAAAGTCGAGGGATTGATCAGGCTGATCAAGGTGCTCAGTTGATGTCATCAAAGATACATCTCTCTTGATCTTGGGATTCTTCTTCATGGTGGCAAAACCTGTATACTGGCTGATTCTCTCTGACTTTGATGGTGTAGGTCAGGTGCTCATTGTTGGATCAATCACAGTGACTGTAGCAATGCTGGCCTAAGCCAGGTGTACTTTCCTGGAGTAGGAGTGAGGTCAAGATTTAAGCAACTACATGGTTTGAAAGTGGGGAAGGAGAATCCTCAGAAGGAGTAATGAACGTTGGGCAGACAAAATCAACAGATGTCTCCTTTAAGATGTTTTGTTTTGTTTTGTTTTGTTTTGAGACGGAGTCTCACTCTGTCGCCCAGGCTGGAGAGCAGTGGCGAGATCTCGGCTCACTGCAAGCTCCGCCTCCCGGGTTCACGCTATTCTCCTGTCTCAGCCTCCCGAGTAGCTGGGACTACAGGCGCCCGCTACTACGCCCGGCTAATTTTTTGTATTTTTAGTAGAGACGGGGTTTCACCGTTTTAGCCGGGATGGTCTCGATCTCCTGACCTCGTGATCCGCCCGCCTCGGCCTCCCAAAGTGCTGGGATTACAGGCGTGAGCCACCGCGCCTGGCCTAAGATGTTTTATGTACATGGTCTCATGTAAACTTCTCAACAACACAATGTTATAGCTGTTATTGACCACAACTTACAGATAAAGACATTGAGGCCCAGATTTTCTCTCTGGGACTGTACCTCTGTGTTTTCTGTAGAGAGCTTGCTTACACCATTCAGGATGGCCTAACTTAGTGGTCGTCAACCTTGGCTGCACATTGGAATCACCAGGAGTGTTTAAAAAAATCCCAGTGTTCAGACCATGCCCCTGACCAATTGAGTCAGAAACTCTGGGAGTGGGACCTGGCATCAATATTTTTAATAGCTCTCTAGTGTGCAGCCAAAATTGAGAATCACCAGCCCACAGCCTGTTCTTTCTTAAGAAAGTAATAATGAGAAGAGCGAGCCAAGCCACATTTTGTTTTCTCAGCCACAACCCTAATAATGAGGCACGCAACCAGACCCCATAAGGGTCCTAGAGCAGGAAAGCAGGCTACTGAAACTATGGATAGTAATGCTGCTGATTTGGGGCCTTCATGATTTGGATGGCAGCTGTGGTCCAATGTCATTTATTTCCATGTGGATATAATAGGCCTTATGAAGTTGTGGCAAATAGAAGGATTAGTAACATAAGCAAGACATTCTTCTATCTAGGGATGTTTATTTTTTAAAATCTGGTGTATAAGAAGCTTATGGGTTAGATACTTGAACAGTAATTAATAATACTTGAAACAAAATTCTGATGCCTGGGCTCTGATAGAGGGGGCTTCTGTATATATCAGTGTGGTTTTTGCCAATGCTCTTGCAAGAAGGGTGACATCTTGCCTTTCTGAGAGGCCCACACCTTGTAGGGCTGGACCTGCTCACTCATTTTATGCCTTTCGTTGAGCCCATGTTCCCAGACGGCCTGTACTCTAATTTACAAAATGAGATCATTCTATAGCTCAAGTCCAACCCTCTTGTTTTATAGATTACAGAAGCAAGTCTCAGAGAGGAGCTCATGGTTTGAATTATGAGTTCTGATTCCTTGATATTCTTTCCACAATGCCTGATCAAAGTTGTAGAAGACTTTAGAGTATATCAAGGGCTTTTGTATATTTCCTTTTGATGTCTTTTTATAAATTATACTCTGAAGTGCTGTATTTTATTCTTTAAACTGCATTCTAACTGTTCTTTACAATTTATTCTGAAACATCATGTTCATTTATTCTTTTAACAAATATTCACTATGCACCTACTATGGGGTAGGCATTGAAGTAAATGCCATAGACAGTTATTGTATGATGGAGCCTGCAGTGACATTTTAGTCAAAACCAATAGGTTTATGACCTTTACTGACCTTACAAAATAACCCCCATAGTTGTTAGGGGGCTAATGTTTGTGGCTTTCTATATTTCATCTTTTCATGCCACTGTCCTGGCTCCCCAAATAGATTGTGTGCTCTTGGAGGAAGAATTTTATGTGTTTCACTCTGTGTCCAAAGCCTATTTCAGTTCCATAAATTATCTATAAGCAGCAGTGTTGGAAGACTGGGAACGTGATGGTTGTTAGATGTGTTAATTAAACTGTAGCCCGTGTTTCTGATAGGTCTTATTTGTTTAGGTTTTAGGAGCTGGTGGCATAAGCATTCCTGCCTTCTGTCCTAATCCAGTTTCCTCTGATAAAAGTATTATTAGAATGTGATATCAGACATTTCCCAAAAAGAAGAACTTGAGAAACAGTTTCCTTCTGCGGATGTGCTGTGTAATCCAGTTGTAGACACCTCTCTACCTGGGATCCTTGATCTCTCCTCTTCCCCTTTGTGCATGATATTTTTGTCGATTCCCTCATTTGAAATAATACCTCATCCTCCCATATTTTATCAGCATTTGCACGAGCACTTGCCTTCCGACCTGCCTTCATTTCCTCTTCTCCTTTCTTCCTGAATACTCACTCTGCCAAGCACTGGAGACGTAAAGATGTATCAAACATACTTGGTCTCTACTCTAAAGAAGTTTGCAGTTCAGAATGGGAGGTGGACATGTAGGCAACCAGATTTCAAGTCTCCAGGCAAGCTTTTTGTCTGTTTTGTCCACGGCTAAATCCAAACTGCCTACAAAAGTGCTAAGAACATTGTTGGCACTTGAGGAATATTTGTTGAATGGATAAATAATCTCTCAGACCCAAGCATGCATACATATGTGTGGATATATATATAAATTATAAGGTCCAGTGAGACTACAGAGGTGGGAAAACTTTGCTGAATCAAGTTCTAAATCATGAGTCGGATTTGGTCAGGCAAAGATTCTATTCTTATTTTAGGTAAGGACTAGGTCTTTATCTTCATTTTCTCATATTGTATGCAGTAAGCTTCATGCGTCATGATTGTTCAGAAATGTCTGTGGCATTGGAATGAAGTTTTTTCTAGCCAGGCAAGAACTCTGCATCTTCACTTCTCAGATTCTTTACCCAGCCTGTATTAAAGGACATACTGGTCCTAGTACTGCTGCCAAACCTCCTCGCCACACCTACTTCTTCCCAGAGCTGACCCTGGAAGATTTGTAAGGCCTCTGCCTTTTGAAAAGATGGAACCAGGATGGTTTACACAGCCTCTCCTGCTACAGCAGGCTCCCTGGGACTTGTCTGGAATGCTCCAATATGGTGTTCAGCTGTGCCCCAGAGTTGCTCAAATCAGTGGAGTTTGCTTCCCATGCATAGATCCTTACTTTATCAGTCGCAGGATATTCCAAACATGGCCTTTTGCTTCTAGAAATTTCTGGAATTCCTTCTGTGTGAGGTTTAATGGGCACAATAGTTGGATAAATGGGGCTTTTAATCACTTCCTCAGTAATTAACTCAATCCAGCAAATACTTCTTGAGAACCTGTTCTAAAGCAGGCACTGACCTAAGCAAGTGGGACGTTCAGTGACAAGGAACGAAGAGTCCAGTCCTGCCTTCAAGGAGTTTATAGGTGTTAGTGGTCGGTGTGTATGTGTGAGTGTGTGTGAGAGAGTGTGTGTGTGTGTGTGTTACTGGGTAAGGAGGAGAAGTGGGGGATTAAGAAAGTCTTTCAGTAACTTCAGTACAAGGCAGAATATGATAGGTACCAAAGAAGAGGAGGGTCTTGGCAGTCCAGGTGGCTAGAATGAGTGTCTGGGTGTGGACAGATTTGAGAGTGTGGAGGAGTGGTGCCATGGAGGAAACAAAAGTAATGAAAACCAAAGGAAGTAGAGTCATATGGCACCCACAGGATGGACAGCCAGCACAGGAAAATAAGGCTAAATAATTATCTAGCCTCACAGTTTGTTTTGACAGGAAAACTCAATGTGCCTTCCAGATGCTCCAGAAATGGGATAAGGCACCAGGGAGGCTAAGCCGAGAATTTAAGCTTTAGCTCAGCCATGGACTGGTTCTGTGACCTCAGATCCTCAGGTGGGAGTGCATGGATGGTGCATTTGCAGCCTACGGCCCTTATCAACTGGAGACTGTGGTTCCTAAAGCTGTGCCCTTCTCCCTCTACTGGAGCTCCATATTCTGGCCAGCTTTTGTTGCATAAATCCTGAGTGAGGGATGCTTAACCAGGGAAACTAGAAGGCAGGCATTAGGGAGAAGGGAAATAGTGTAGAGGACAGAGGGGAGATGACCTGACCTTTATTTCTTACCATATTTCAGGGCTTTTTGCTCCTTTGACTGCAAAAGGAGAGAAAGATAAATTAAACTTTCTCTTTCAGAATGCTATACTTTGCCATTACTTTTAATGGCAAAAACTGCAATTACTTTTGCAATATTTGTGGCATGTTTGATTTAGGATTTAGCAGTCTAAACCTCCAATAAACTGTTTACATACTTCCAATCTCATGGATTCAAGAATTACACCGAGGCCTTTGCTATGCAGTTATAACTTGTTAAATAATTTCTTTTTCCCTTTAGTGTCTGAACCTCTTAGAGGGTTGCAAGCTTTATCATGTGCCTTTATATTTTGCTAAATTAAGCTTTTTCTCCCTACTTCACCAAGTCACTTTAACACCTCATGCCATAGGTTATAAAATAGATTGCCCCATAAAAAATACAGTTTCTCATTCAGAATGAGTGAGATTTGTCTTCACAGATATTTTTGACCAAAGGAATGCAATCAAAAGAAGGGACATGATTATTCATTAGTCTATTATTATTCTCTTATTTTGTCTCCTGGCAGTGGCTAGGGAGCTTTAGCCCCCATCTCTATGTGGCTGATCTACATGTGCTGAGCATCCCCACAGGAAATAGCAAGGCCAGCTGATTGATGCCCAGCCCTCAGCATGTGTGCCTTCTCTCCAGATGTGCAGTTTGGCTGTTGGTCTACCCTGAAGTGGGCTTGGGGTGCCCTTCCCTCAGATGTGATACTAACTTTGAATTCCCAGTCAGCCTCTGAGAGTTTGAGCATTTGAAAGTGTGAGAAAGGGTGTGTTGGTTCACTTGGTAGCTATTCAAACTTGGAGTTTCGTTGGGCCCCAAGTCTAGTTTGGGGTATATCTCCTCCAAAATGGCCAATTAATTCCTTAAAGTATCACTCATTCATGCTACTCTCTACCTCAGGTCCTTCCATCATAGAATCACAGGATCAGAGAATTTTAGAGTTAGGAGGAGCCTTAGAGATGTGATTCAACTCTCTCCAAAGGGACCCCTACTATTATATCTTAGGGTCTGTATATTCTAAATATTTTTTTCACTTTTCCTTTGGCATGGGAAACTTTGAATTTTGGAAAAGCTGGAAATTTAGCACTGCCTGCTGACTTCATGTACCAAATCCAAACTTCAAGATGTTACAAAAGAGACAGGTTGAGCCATCAAAGGACCAAGAGTCATAGAAAGAGTGGCTTCCCCTGAATAACTACAGGGCTGGAAGAGGGGATTGGGAGTGGTAGAGCCTAGATTATAGCACTGGTCATTTTCTTTTCTGAGAGGCTGCCCTATTCTATATCCATCTTATCTGGAGGAATACAAATTTCACCCTGTTCCCAGGCATATATTACTTGCCAAGGGAATTAAAATAAGCTTATATCTGAAGAAAATTATTCATTTCAGAAGCATGAACAATAAAAAAGACAGACTAATCAGAATAACTTATACAAAAACAGTGTAAATAATGGAAAAGACGAATAGGAATGTGAAGTGAAAATAGTGAGACATACTATGTTGGGGCAGGTAAGGGAATATTATTTGGTACCCAAAGGATAGCAATTTGGCAGTATCCAAAGAAACTTAAAGTAAATATACTTTTTACTCAGCAGTTCCACCTCTACAAAATTAAGCTATTGCTACTATTTTGGAGCCAAGACATGCAAAGTGGGAATTTGAGCTGAAGAAAGAATGGGAGCAGAGCTAAGCCAAGGGATGTGGGCATGAATGGCCACCTGGGGTAGGTACTCTGGGCTCCAGTGTTCATAAGCAAAACTCAACTGAGCTTTACTGGGTTGAGACCAGCTTAATCTTACTCTCTAAACATACACCCAACCTAAAGAAGGATGTATACACAGCTCTGAACATTTACTGGCTTCTGAATTCACGTGGCTGTACAGAAAGGCCTCCTCTTTATCTTTGAATTCTTATGATCTCCTATATTTAAAGAGCATCAGTGAAAATATGAAATAAGGAGATCTAAAAATTCTCTTCTCCACAGAAAGCCCATAGTAATGGATTGTAAAACAATATTAAGATGCTAAAACTCCATAAATTTATCTACCTGTTCAATGAAATTCCTATCAAAATCCAGATGCCTTTTCTTTTTTTTTTTCAGAAATTGACAAGGTGATTCTAAAACACATATAGAAATGCACAGGGCTCAGAATAGCCAAAACAACCTTGAAAAAGAACAAAGTTGAAGGACTCACACTTTCCAACTTCAAAACTTTCTAAAAGGTAGCATAATCAAGACTATGTGATACTGGCATAAGGACAGAAATATAGATGAATAGAATACAATTGAGAGTCTAAAAATAAACCCATCCACTCATAGTAAATTTGTTTTTGATGAGGGTGTGAAGACAATTCAATGGTGAAAGAAAAGTCTTTTCAACAAATGGTACTAGGACAACGGTAATTGTATATCCACATACGAAAGAGTGAAATTGTATCCCTACCTCACCCCATACACAAAACAACTTAAAATGGGTTAAAGAACTAAATGCAAGGCTAAACTATAAAATGCTTAGAAGAAAACATACAAGTAACTCTTCATGACTGTAGGCAATGGTGTTTTAGATATGACACTAAAAGCACTAGGAACAAAATAAAACAAAAAACCTCATATAAATTGGACTTCATCAAATTTAAAATCACTTGTGCCTCAAAGGACACATTTAAAAAGTGAAAATACAACACACAGAATGGCAGGAGTATATTAGCAAGTCATATATCTGCTAAGCATGTAGTATTCTAGCATCTAGAGTATATAAAGAATTTTTATATTACAACAATAAAAGACAAAAAACCCAGTTAAAAATGGGTAAAGCATTTAAATAGATGTTTCACCAAATAAGAGATACAAATGGCCATTAAGTACCTGAAAAGATAACATCATTCATCATTAGGGCAATGCAAATGAAAACCATTTATACCCACTAGAATGGCTATAATAACAAAATGGAAAATAAGTGTTGATGGCAATGTGGAGAAGTTGGGACCTTTATACACTGCTGCTGAGAATGTAAAATAGTGTGGCCACTTT